>NC_000010.11:10010000-10161515 GCF_000001405.40 Homo sapiens
ACAAGGTAGAAGAAATAGAGACAATAATGGGGAGAGGAAAGTATCAAAAAAGCCAAACGCAATTACTGTCATTAAAGAGACAAGATACAAGTATAAATTACTCTGAAGAAAAGAAACAAGAATGAACTTCTGGTAATTAAAAATAGAATACTTGAGTCTTCTGCTTCCAGGAAGATGAATTAGATGTGTTTTTTTTTCCCTACATCCCCCTTCTAACTACAACTAAATGTTCTGGATGTTATATATTTAATAAATGAAAGAGGACTCTGAAATGTGGAGAGAAGGCTGGCTGGTTAGGGAGCTGAAAACTCAAGGAAGAACACAGTGGTGAACTTCCTACATTTGCTTTGTCTCATGTATCTCAGACTAGGTGTTGAAGCTGGCAAACAGCAAATGTCAACAGGTGCAGAAAAATAAAGAGCCCCCCAAAATCTTTCTAGCCAAAGGGTGGGAAAGAGGGAGCTTAAGAAAACAGAAGATTTTTAGACAATAACTGCTCTGCTCCAGACAAACACCACAGAGAAACTGCAGTCCTTGCCAGCAAAGGCCACATGGAGCTCAGCCCTTCCCCTTCATCAGAATATAACAGAGTATTTCCAACCCCCATGGTGTCAGTGGTGAGCATGCCTGGAAGACTGGACTTCCGCCCCCATCCAGTGGTTATGAGGTACCCCTTCCTCTCTCTACTGGGGAAGTGTCATTGGAAGGCTGGTGGAGAGTGAAGGAATTTACCATCTCTTAGCAGAACCACACAATGAATGAGACATATTTAAAATCGAATGAGAAAAGACCATTTAACAAACTTCAACACTAAGATGAAATCGATGTTAAAGTTATCTGACAAAGATTAAAGTAGACAATAAAAATGTTTCCCATTGGCCATTTACAAACAGAAATGAGACAAATTAAAAAATAGGAAGTATCAGCAAAGAAGCAGAAAGTGCCAGGAAAAAAAATTACCCAACGGCAGAGTTACAATATACGTAAAACAAAAACTGAGGCAAATAACATCCCTCTTTCAACAATTGGTAGAACAATTAGAAAGACAGCACAATTATAGAATAATTTAACAATTCTGTCAGCCAATAGAATTTAATCCACATTATAGAACACTCCATCTAACAACAACAAAAAATACATTTTTGTCAAGCGCCCACTAACATACAGCAAGGTGTATCTATACATCTGGTAACATACACCAGATCATACCCCGGGCCATAAAACAAGCATTAACCAATTTTTTAAAAATTTAAAGCATACAGAGTATGTGCTATGAGTATAGGGAGATAAAACTAAAGATCAGTAACCAAAACATAACAGGAACATATCCAAACTAAACACTACACTTCTAAATAATCTATAGGTCAGGGAAGAATTCTAAAGGGTAACACAAGAGAAATCTTTGCGATAATGAAATAATTCTGTATATTGATTGTGGTGGCAATTTTACAAACCTACACATGTAATAAAATCACTTAGACCTACCTGCACACATTGCACAGATGCTAAACTCCTAGTTTAGATCTTGTACTTTAATTAGGTAAGATAGAAACATTGGAAAAATTAGGATAAATTGTGCTCAGATACCTGTGTACTATCTTTGTAACTTCTGTGAATCTATGCATATTTCAAAATAAATATTAAGAAAAATAGAATAGTGTCCTCACTTTCATTTTTAAGAGTTGTAACATAAAACTAAGGATGACTCTTGAAAAGAAGGGACAGAAAAATGGAAAGTGGGAAGAAAAGGATAAAAAATTATGGATCTATCTCAGAAATAAACATCCCATTTAGTAGGAATTATGGAAACATAGGGCATGAAAAACAGCTGGGAAGGAATCATTGATAAAATAACACTAAAAAATTCCCTGAACTTAAAGGTTCTAAAACTTAAACTCTTACAGATTCCCAGATATATTGAGTACTCACCATAATAATTTTTTTTAAAAAAGCAAGCTGTTAGATTATTGTAAACCATCAGAGAGTCAGATTACAAAAAGATAAACAGAGTTATCTGAAAATGACACTGGGGATTCAGATATCCTGAAGCGATAATGCTTTGTCTTCTTTAATTCTCTGGAGCAATTAAAATGTTGTAAATTATATTATCAGCAGACATAGATGGAAAATGAAGTCAAAGCTGTATTTCTGTATTGCTTTTCTTTTTTATGTAGTGGGTGAAGGTGAGACCTATTGTAGTATCCACAGATTTGTGTGGTGGATACATAGAATACCAATCACCCTTGGTATTCTATGAATATCGAAATAGGCCTCTTGCCTTTAGTACTATTTCCAATATCTTTTAGATCAGGTCATATATAATTCAGGAGCAAATATTTTTATGCATAGAGTAACCAAATATTTTTCTTTGCTTTTTTGGTCTGGCCTCATCTCTGTATTTTCTACATACATATGAGCATTTTAATTAATCACTACATTGCTGTCTTGATAATGACTTGAGAATATAACCTAACATGAAAGAGTGAAAGTGAAATTGAGAAGACAAGGTAAAAAGGAAAGGTTAAAAAATGTAAATAAATCTACTAGTTTAAATACAGAAATAAAAGCAGAAATTTTAAAAGCTGGGTTGGCACATGCTGGCCAATCCAGAAGAAATATAAATATTAAAATTTACCCTTAGAAAACAAAAGCACAACATTTCCAAGATTATGTGTGGCATATAAATACATAAAATACAGGATTTAATTTGTCTTTCTACAAATAAAAAGCTTCTTAAGTTCAAAGAATTAAAATCTGAATATTTACATGAAGAGCTAAATTTATATTCAACATTTATTGCCTAGGGTTCTGGTAATATTATTATGATACATACAATATATATGCATATAAAATTTGAATATACAGGATTTACACCACAGAAGATTACAATGCCAAAGAGGATTTCAGTATTTATGAAGCCAATAATTTCAGTTTAAAAGCTTGGTAAATATATTTATAGACACAATCAGGTTAGAATCTGTATTGCAAACAGCAGTTCCATGTGAAATAACCTAATAAACTTTAAATGTGGGAACATAATTTTACTTTCCATTATAATAATAGGTTAAACATCAGATTTAGGGAGGTTTTTAAAAACATATCAAGGAGGATTTTGTTTTTTAAATTGTGTTCAATGGATTGATAAATAATTCTAGAGGCCGTTAAATTTCATTACGATAATACAAATTTTGAAGACTTTTTTACACCACAAGGCAGTAAAATATTGGGCATATAAGTCATGCAGATATCAAGAACTAATTTAAGAATGAAGAACTGCCACTAGAAACATTTAATGCTTATACTAAGATTGTACAACAAGTTTCTATCAGAATTAAAAAGCAAAATTCTTGTTATCAAGAACATTGTTTAAGTAGAATTGCTCAGTTATTTTTTATAGCATCTGTGGTGGCAGAGAAAATGCATATATTCTTGAGCTTTATTTTCTTCATCTTTTGGACACTTGGCAAGATTGTATTTTCCACCTTTCCCTGTGATGACGTGAGACAGATGACTGAATTCTGAGAAATGAAATGTGGGTAGGTGATGCAAGCCATTGATAAGCTGTTCCCTAGCACTTCCCAAATATCTCTCCATGCCAACCGTGTGCCTCTCTCTGCAGATGGGGTGGCTGAACCCGCTATGGGAAATAGGTTTCCTGGATAACTGCAGCTCTGTTTCCTCCCACCTGCCATTCCTCTACACATATTTATGCTGATATGAACAAGAAATAAACCTTTTTCTCTTGTTTTTTGGTAGTTGGGCAATTATTTGTTATCCTATTAGCTTCACTTGTAACCATCTCATTTATTTTGTAACAAAAAATACTTAAAACATTTTAATATAACATGCATCACACTGACACCCACTAGGATGTCTATAAGCAAAAAGACAAATTATAGCAGGTATAGTCAGCACCATATAATTAACATGAACTGCATATTGTATGGTGGCCCCGTAAGATTACAAGGGAGTTGAACAATTTCTATTGCCTAGTGATGTTGCAGCCATCTTACTACAATAGTGCAAAGCATGCGTCACATGTTTGTGGGACTGTTGCTGCAATCAAAACTCCTGTGCTGCCAGTCATATAAAAGTCTATCACATAAAATTATGTAGGATATATGCTTGATAATGATAATAAATGACTATGTTACTGGCTTCTTTACTATACTTTTTAATCCTTATTTTAGAGTGTACTTATTCAACTTAAAAAAAAAAATAAGTTAACTGTAACATAGCCTCAGGCAGGTCCTTCGGGGTATTCCGGAAGAAGCCATTGTTATCATAGACGAGGACAGCTCCATCCGTGTTTTTGCCTTTGAAGACCTTCTAGTGGGACAAGATGTGGATGTGGAAGATGGTGATATTGATGATCCTCTCCTTGTGTAGGCCTGAGCTAATGTGTGTGTTTGTGTCTTAGTTTTTAACCAAAAAATTTAAAAAGTAAGAAAAAAAATGAACATAGGAAAAAGCTTATAGAATAAGACTATAAAGAAAGAAAATGGTTTTGTGCAGTTGTATATGTTTGTTTTAAGCTGTTATTATAAAAGAATCAAAAATTGTTTTAAAAAGTTTATAAAGTAAAAAATTTACAAGTTAAGATTAACAGATTATTACCAAATTTTAAAAAATGTTTAGCAATTGAGTGTAGCCTAAGTTTACAGTGTTTATAAAGTCTATGGTAGTATATATAATACCTTAGGCCTTCCCATTCACTCACCACTCACTCACTGACTCATCCAGGGCAACTTCCAGTTCTGCAAGCTCCATTCATGGTGAATGCCAGATACAGGTATATCATTTATTTTCTCTATCATATCTTTGATGTACCTTTTCTATGTCTAGACATATTTAGATACACAAATACTTACAATTGTGTTATAATTGCCTGCATTATCCAGTACAGTCATATGCTGTACAGGTCTTTAGCCTAGGAGCAGCAGGCTATACCACATAGCTTAAGTATGTAGTAGACTCCACCATCTAGATTTATGTAAATGCACTCTGTAATGTTCACACCATGATGAAATTGCCTAATGACGCATTCCTTAGAACATATCCTCATTGTTAAACAACACATAACTGTCCTGGCAAAGATGAGAAATTGGAATCCTCATGCATTGCTCCTGAGAATGGAAGCTGGGCCACCACATTGAAAACCAGCTTGGCAGTTCTTCAAAAAGTTCAACACTGAATTACCATATGATACTACAATCACACTGCTAGGTATATACCCAAAAGAAAAGAAAACATGCTGGTACAAATACTTATGCATGCATCTTTATAACAGCATTATTCATAATAGCCAACAAGTGGAAACAACTCAGATGTTGGAAAGAAAATATTTATCTATATGTGTGTGTGTGCACACGTGTGGTTGTCTTATTTCACTTAGCATAACATCCTCAAATTGCATCCACATTGCATTATATGACATGGTTTTCTTCTTTTTTAAATGAATGTTGTATTGATTTTATACCCAGAAGCTTTGCTAAACTCTCTTACAATTATGTTGGTGCAAAAGTAATTGCCATTACTTTTAATAGCAAAAACTGCAATTATTTTTGCACCAACCTAATTATTTTCTAATAATTGATCTTTAGATTCTCTTGGCTTTTCTTCAGAGCCAATTACATCAATCTGCAAATAACCAAAGTTATGCTTTTCCTTTTTAATCTGTATGTCTTTTACTTGTCTTACGTATTGCACTGGTAAGGACCTTTAGTAACTTGTTACGTAGAAGTGTTAGTGGATATTCCTGTCTTCTTTCTGATCTTAAAAGGAATACTTTCAATACTTCACCATTAAATATGGTATTTAATATACTTTTTAATTTTTTCAATTTATCTTTATCTTTGTGGATGCATAGTAGCCATATATATTTATGGAGTACATGAGATACATTGATACAGGCATACCATGTGTAATAATCACATCAGGATAAATGGGGGATTCATCACCTCAGGAATTTATATTTTCTTTTTGTTACAAACAACCCAATTATACTCTCTAAGTTATCTTTAAATGTACAATAAATTATTGTTAACTAGTAGTCACCCTGTTGTACTATCAAATAGTAGATCTTATTCATTCTGTCTAACTGTATTCTTGTACCTAGTAACCATCCCAAATTTCTCACCAACACTACCTTTCTCAGCCTCTGGTAACCATCCTTCTACTCTCTATCTCCACGAGTTCAATTGTTTCAATTTTTGGCTCACACAAATCAGAACATGCAAATTTTGTTTTTCCAGGCCTGGCTTATTTCACTTAACATAGTATCCTCCAGTTCCAGTCATGTTATTGCAAATGACAAGATCACATTATTTTTTATGCTTGAATAGTACTCCACAGTGTATATGTACCACATTTTTTTTATCCATTCATCTGTTGGTGGATACTTAGGTTGCTTCCAAACTTTGGCTATTGTGAATAGTGCTGTAATAAACATAGGAGTGCAGATATCTCTTTGATGTACTGATTTGCTTTCTTTTGGGTGTATACCTAGCAGTGGGATTGCTGGATCATATTACGGTAGTTCTATTTTTGGGTTTTGAGGAACCTCCAAACTGTCCTGCCTAGTGGCTGTATTAATTTACATTCCTACCAACAGTGTAGAAGGGTTTTCTTTTCTCTACATCCTTGCCAGGATTTGTATTGCCTGTCCTTTGAATAAAAGCCATTTTAACTGGGGTGAGAGATCTCACTATAGTTTTGATTTGCATTTCTCTGATGATCAATGATGTTGAACACCTTTTCATATACTGTTTGCCATTGGTATGTCTTCTTTTGAGGAACGTCTATTCAGATCTCTTGCCATTTTTTAATCAGACTATTAGATTTTTTTCCCTAGATAGTTTTTTGAGCTCCTTATATATTCTGGTTATTAACCCCTGTCAGATGGATAGTTTGCAAACAATTTCTCCCATTCTTTGGGTTGTCTCTTCACTTTGTCCATAGTTTCTTTTACTGTGTGGAAG
Organism: Homo sapiens; assembly: GCF_000001405.40. Lineage (NCBI taxonomy): Eukaryota > Metazoa > Chordata > Mammalia > Primates > Hominidae > Homo > Homo sapiens. Next base: position 10,016,981 of record NC_000010.11, read on the forward strand.
CTTTTATTCTGTACTTTTTAAAGAAAGAAATCTTTGATCAGAAATCAGAAATAAATAAATTCCCTTTATTCTCAGTATTCTCAGTTTTATTTTAAAATTATAAAATAATTTTCAATTTTTTCAAATGCTTTTTCTGCATATATTGATGATTATTTAATTTTTCTTCTATGATTTGTTAATGAAATTAACTATGCAACTTTATGTTCCCATATTAAACCAAATTTAAACATGATACTGTTTACTTATATAACAAACCTGAACCTAAAATAAAAGTTAAAAAAAAAGTTGATTAAGCATTAACTATACAACTTTATGTTCTAATATGAAACCAAACTCATGTTCCTGGGATAAACTTAACTTGATCTCTCTCTATATATGTGTATATATTTCTGGATGTGAGGTACCTAGAGTAGTCAAATTCATAAAAACTTAAAGTAGAATGACAGTTTTCAGGGCATAGGGAGACAGGAAAACAGAGAGTTCTTATTTAATGGGTATAGAGTTTCAGATTTAAAAGATAAATTCTGGAGATGTATTGCCTAACAATTTGAATATTCTTTTTTCTCCAACGCCTGCTTGTTTACTTATTCAAACTATTATTTAGTAGTTACTAGTGATTGACACTGTTAACTCATGCTGTTTTTAAATAAAAACATATATGACATAAAAAATTAAATAATGTAGACTAATATGTAATTCCAAACAAATGCCTCTTTACATGTTTTATGATAAAGTACATATGGGTAAACTTTTGTTTAACTTTTATTTTAGGTTCAGGTTTTTTATATATGTAAACTGTGTCATGGTGGTTTGGTGTACAGATTATTAATATTTCATCACCGAGGTTGTAAGCATACTACCTGATGGGTTTTTTTCCTGATCCTCTTCCTCCTCCCACCTCCACCTTCAAGTAGGCCGCGGTGTCTGTTATTCCTCTCTCTGCGCCCACGTTCCTCACTGTTTAGCTGCCACTTATAAATGAGAACATGCAGTATTTGGTTTTCTGTTTCTCTGCTAATTCACTTAGGATAATGGCCTGGAGCTCCATCCATGTTGCTGTAAAGGACATAATCTTGTTCTTTTTATGGCTGCATGGCACATACACTGTATTCCATGGTGTATATGCACCACATGTTCTTTATCCAGGTACCATGGATGGGCATTTAGGTTGATTCCATGTCTTTGCTATTGTGAATAATACTGCAGTGAACATACAAGTGCATATATCTTTATGGTATAATTATTTATATTCTTTTGGGTGTATACCCAATAATGGAATTGCTGGGTCAAATGGTAATTCTGTTTTAAGTTCTATGAGGAATTCCTACATTGCTTTCTGCAATGGCTGGACTAATTTATACTCTTACCAGCAGTGTGTAAATATTCTCTTTTTGCCATAATCTCACCAGCATCTGTTATTTTTTGACTTTTTAGTAGCAGCCATTTTGACTGTTGTGAGATGTTATATTATTGTGGTTCTGATTTGCATTTTTCTAATGATTAGTGCTGTTGAACATTTTTTCATGTGTTTGTTGGCCACAAGTATGTCTTTTTTTGAAAAGTTTCTATTCATGTATTTTGCCTCAATGTGAATACACTTAACACTAATAAACTTAACTAAGGCTAAAATGGCAAATTTTATGTTATATGCTTTTTACCACAAAAAAATTTAAATATTAAAAAACTAAATTACATTTCTCTGCCAAATAAAAGAACATATTTTATAATTAAATTGTGATAGTTATACAACTAAGTTAACACACTAAAAGGCATTAAATTGCACACTTTAAATGAGTAAATTATATGGTATGAGAATTACATCTCAACAAAACTATTTTTAGAAAGGAGGGATAGCGAGAAGAAACATTGTCAACTAGCTAGATGATAGCTAGTCACTGGAATACATAGTATTGCAAAGCTCAAGTTATAGTCCCCATCTTAGACTTCAGAGAAATGTGCAAATCTGTTTTTTGGATCATTCTGCTCCCTGTGGCCACTTCAACATTGCTTCTGAAGCAAAGAAAAAGTGTCACAATGGATTTGACCTTATACTTTCTCTTCTTCTGACTTTAGTCTTCGCTAACCTCCCCCCACACACTGGCTCCCTGATCCTAGAAATGGAAAAGACAGCACCTTAACTCTCTCTCCTCCCTAATCGCTGGCAGTGGTTTATAGGAGCACATGCTTTACAACAGCTACTTATTACAGGAAAAGCACACACTTTGAAAGAAAAAAGACCTGGGTTCTAATCTTTGCTCATACTTTGATAGATGTATACACTGGCCAATTCCTATTTCTTTGTTTTATATATGTTTATATATGTTTCTTCTCTATATACATATGTGTATATATATGTATCTTTGTTTATATATATATATTTTATATAAAAGAAATACAACGAGGCTTATGATGAACAAAAATAATAATTACTAAAATATGCAATCACTCTTTTGGCTTTGAATTATATTCTAATTCATATATAATGCACCCGGCGCTCAAACTTTTCCACCGAAACAAACCTGAATTATAAAAGAAAACATCCAACAAAAAACCAACACTGACAGGTTCACTACCACAATATTCATTAGGTTGTGGCTAATATGGACCCACACCCTATGCCTCCTCCAAAACTCCAGTGTTGACAGTAAGGCTCGTGTTTCTATTTTGAAAATATCCAGAGTTATTTTAATGTGCTCCTCTGTACTCCACTCCGTGTCAAGAATCACTTCTAATTCTTCTAAAAGTTTGTATCTTCCAATACATATCTCACTCAATTATTTGTATCTTTAAGGGGAAGGAAGTTTTGCAATTTAAAACAAATATTAAAAGCAGTCACTAAGGAGTCAAAATTTTTCTCTCTGATAAGTGAATCTTATTTCAAAAAATCATTTTGTGGGATTTTTCCTTTGCAAAGGTAAGATACCCTTTAAAAACATAGATGCAAAAATATGGGATAAGAGGAATAAATTGATCTATTAAAAGAGTAGCAGGACTTTGAGTTTGCAAAGTCACCAGAGGTGGGAAATCTGAGAAAAAGAAAGAACAGGGTTTCTGCGAAGACAATGTATATTCATTGATAATGAATTGACAATGTGTTCAGAGGCTAGGGTTTAAGAGCAAGACATGGTTAGTGAAGAATTTCTTGAGGCAGCAAATATCAAGTTTATATGTAGCATGAGTAAGATTGGAATTTAACTGCAACAATCCTTTGTCAATTATTTTACTCTTAAACCTCCAGTCGAAGTCTAGTATTAATGGCATTTTGGAATACTGAGGGAAGAATGGCAGTATTTCAAGATTTTGAGTTGGTGACCAGTAGTTAAGTAAAAGGATTCTTGAACTACAGTTGAAGTTTATCTTTGAAACCAGAGAAGTATGGCTATAAATTGGACAGACTTAGAAGCCAGTATGAACCAAACTGTTGCATAATAAATGGGATTCTAAAATAAGATGATATTCTTCTAAGTAATACATATTGATGGAAACATACACACACAGAATAGTATATTTTCAGAAAACTCAAACTTATGGCAACATTTAGGTGTAGAAAATGTGGTATGTTGAGCCACCCTCTCGGTTCTCAAAAAAACTCACTTTCTTTGATAAAGTATATGGATGTATATTAAGTCCCTTCACTGGAAAGTGATAAAATTAGACCAGGTACCATGGCCTCCCAAAATGCTGTAATTCCCAGCATTTTGGGAAGCCAAGGCAGGAGGATCACTTGAGATCAGGAGCATGAGACCAGCCTGGCCAACATGGTTAAACCCCATTTCCACCAAAAAATACAAAAATTAGCCAGATATGGTGGTGTGTGCCTGTAGTCCCAGCTACTCAGGAGGCTGAGGTGGCAGAATCGCTTGAAGCTGGGAGGCAGAGGCTAGAGTGAGCTGAGGTCATACCACTGTACTCCAGCCTGGGTGACAGTGTAAGACCCAGTCTCAAAAGAAAAGAAAGAAAACTAAAGTGATAAAAATTAGAGCCTTTCACATGAAATTTATAATACAGGTTAGATCTTGTGGTTGGTAGATAATGAATATGCCTATTAACAATTCCTTTCTTCTCTGTATGCACATGTCTGCCTTTCTTCTCATTGAGAAGTAGAGTCTGTTTCCCTCTCTTTGAACATTGTCTGGGTGTGTGCTTAGCTTTTAAGTGGCTTGACAGCTTTGGCTTTTTGCCATTTAGTGAAGTGGACTGCTGTGACGTAAAGAAACTTGAGCTAGGCTATTCAAGGATGAGACAGAACATAGAGAGCAAGAGATCCCACCTAGAGAAGGACTGGAGCAGCAGGCATGGGAATAAAACTTCCTTGGTTCTCCAGCCTAGTATAGTTACCATCTGAATGCTGATGTCACTGATGGAGTGACCCCAGCTGATGCCAAGTGGAGCTGAAGAGCCATCCAACAGAACCCTGCTTGAATCCTAACACAAATATTTATAAGAAATGAGAAATGATGGTTGTGTTGCATTAAGCCACTAAGATTTGGGGTTGTTTGTTACTCAGAATTAGGTAACTGAAAGAAAAAATTGTACCAGATATAGGGTGCCACCATAACAAAATCCCAAAATAGATACTTAATGGCATTGTGGGAGGTAGGTGGAAGCCAGAGGTGAAGTAAAAACATTGTTAATGGGGGCCTAAAATTCAGTAAGAAAATTGATTTGGGGGGTTAGAGAAAGGTTATAGTCCTGTGGTAACAGAAGATAGAAAAATACAGAAAATATACCTAACGAACATGCAAATTCGGTTAAAGAGATTTCTGGGAAGAATTTAGAAAGCACCAATTGACTTATTGGAGTTATTAGCTGTGCCCCACTTCTATTTGAATGTATCTGAGTAAATGATCACAGCTAACACAAGATGGAGATTAGTTGGGTCAAGCCAAACCTGACCCAAATTCCTAACCCACAGAGTCATGAGAAAAAACAAATTATTGTTTAAAGCCACATTGTTTTGAGGTTATTTGTTACGCAGCAACAGGTAGCTGATACAGATCACCAATGAATCCCAACTGGAGGAATATAATGTTTTCAGGAGGCTGGTTCCCGAGAGTAGTCTTCCAAAGACAGATGGGAGCATATGTGCACAGCTTCCAAATTACAAATGCAACCAAGTACTAATCGGTTGCAAAAAACAACAAGCAACATCAACAACAAGGCCTTTTCTAGGTGGAAATGAACTGTGCTTTTGGATTGTTTATACCCATAATTATGGTTGTGAGGTAACTTATTCTGAACAAAGGTCTCCCCTTTCTCTATCTCAAAGACCTGGAAAAAAGAACCATTAAGCCTGAATAACATTCTGAAGGCCTTTGGGGCAGTCTGACCTTGTTTCTTTAATTCCTGCGAACATCTTTTAGATTGTCTATGTTTTTCTTTGAGAAGAAAATAAAGAATTGCATAGTAGGCAGTACTACATTTTTCTTTCTCTGGCAAAATATGGGCCCAGGAACTGCTGCCTGCCTGCCTGGGGTATCTAAACGAGTGTCCTAGATAATGATCATCATTTTCTCCATGATTGCTTTCACTAAAAGGGAAAACCAGAAGTTAAATGATTTTTGTTGTCTCCTCTAACTTATAATTTTTCCTGAAAGCTGAAATAAAAGCACGTCCTGGATGACACAGTGGTAACCCTTTTCCATCAGATGCTCCAGTGTTTGAAGTGTCTTAGCCGTATGACCTAAAGCAAATACACCTACTCAGGGGAAAAGAATTGACTTAGAATTAGCCTTTGTCACCATAAATTCACTTCTGATTGTCGAATTATTTTTAGAAGTTCTTTTTTTAAAGAATACATGGAAAAAGTAAGCAGGTGAGTGAAAAAAGTAATAGGGTGAGTAGCAAAAGAAACCACTCAGAGGAAAAGATCCAAATACTCTTCTTAATTTCTTACTCTTTTTCTGTTTGTGTTTGCATAAATTTAAATACAGTTCGGGTCTGGTGGCCTACTTCCTGATCTAATTGCTGTTGGAATTTTTTTTTAAATTAAAAATTTGCATGTCCTCAGACTAGTCTATAAAGAGTAGGAAAGAGGATGAGAAATAGAGAAAGCTAATGCTGTGCTCTTTTGTTCCATTTAATTGCCAACCTGGTATATAAAATATACTTTTAAAAACACACAACAAATACAATTCTTAATATGGTATACATTGTAAGTTATTCTTACCCAGAAATTGGAACTACTACTTTAGTATTTAATAAATACATATTTTAGGAAATGCATTTTTGGGAAATATAGTGTCATGGCAAAGATGGAAAATATAGTTTAATTGACATGCCACTCTGACAAGTGGATCGTAGCTACAGTAAGGTTATGTTGCAGGCTTATTTTTGCTAGTATGAAAAAGTATCATGATAATTACATCTGCAATAGACATAAGAGGAGTGACTGTGCTAGCAACTGGCCATTTCTGTCCTGGGAGAGTAATATCTAAAGTAGACCTACAGAGGAGAGAAGTCATCAATTGCAAGATGCTAATGGGGTTAGCCTACAGGAAAAACGGGTATTCTAAGAGAGAAATGGTTTATGAATGCTTGCTTTCTGGAGTGTCAGGAAACTAAATTCTTTTAAAAATGCACAATCACTTTTACTAAATGGCAGATATGACACAAAACCTGGCAAGGAATAGATTTGGGAATTTGAAGAGTAACATAAATTCACACATGCCAAACTCAAATTGAGAACATTGCAGTGTTGAACCAGCAGGCTCAAATGATATTTGTATGATCTCTACCACAAACACAGATACATATAATGACACTATGTTCTATGTCAACATTTGCTATCTAAACTGGGGCCTTGAAGGAGAATAGCATTCTTTGCTTAAGGAATATCTCCTTATATTTAATGTGTTTATATTCTTCTTAAATTAGATGACAAGGGACAATTTAAGATTGTCAGAGAAATTGAAAACAGGATTTATAAGGAAGAACTTCCGTGATAAATATGATCCAAAGATGAGGGGAAAAAAACATAATTGGGGATGAAGAAAAGGCAAAGGAATAGAAGGGAGTTGATGATTTGGCTGTGTCCCTACTAAAATCTCACCTTGAATTGTACTCCTGTCATTCTGACATGTTGTGGGAGGGACCCAGTGGGAGATAATTGAATCATGGTGGTGGTTTCCCCCATACTGTTCTTGTGGTAGTGAATGAGTCTCATGAGATCTGATGGTTTTATCAGGGGTTTCTGCTTTTGCATCTTCCTCATTATCTCTTTGCCTGCTGTCATCCATGTAAGACATGACTTGCTCCTCCTTGCCTTCTGCCATGATTGTGAGGCTGTCCCAGTCATGTGGAACTGTAAGTTCAATTAAACCTTTTCCTTTTGCAAATTGCCCAGTCTTGGGTATGTCTATATTAGCAGCATGAAAATGGACTAATACAGGAGTGCATAAAATCTTCTTGTGCAACATGGATATTTTGAGAAAGGTTAAGACACACACACACACACACACGAGTTCACTATGTAGCAGATAAGTACACAGAGTAGGCAGCATTGATTAGTGAACATAGCATAGCTCAGAGATATTAATAGATACCGATGATTACAATGCATGGAAAATAGATCTAAATATAACCAATAGTCTCAGTCTCCTGGATGTTAAGATTTAGAGGAGAGAAAAACCTTTCAAAATACAGCAATGATAAAAGAGTTTGCCTTTTACCAATCTCTAGAAGATGTCTTGGAGCATAAGAGCAGAGAAAGTGGTGTGCAACATACTCCTTGTCTAATCACAGTAAAAGGACAAAAACTGCAAATAAATAAAATGGTAAGTAACAAGAGAAATTTAGAAAAACAAAGACCAGGGATAATGCATAAAACATGGTACAAGTGACCTCTCTATAATTGAATTAGTAAAACATGACATAATCCCAGCACTTTGGGAGGCCGAGGAAGGCAGATCACTTGAGGCCAGGAGTTCGAGACCAGCCTGGCCAACATGGTGAAACCCCTTCTCTACTGAAAATATAAAAATATAATCTGGGCATGGTGGTGCACACCTGTAATCAACCGGGCCACTGCACTCCAGCCTAGGCGAAGGAGTGAGACTCCATCTCAAACAAACAAACCAAACAGACAAAAAAATGACAACACCATGCCTGAGGATCCCAGGGATCTTCTGATTGCAGATTTTGAAATTATTTTCAGGGAGTCCTGAGGAGATTGATTCAGATGCTATAAAACTCTTACATGACAGCTTCAGAACCTCCAAGTTGCACATTTTCTTGTGATTTATTCTTACAGCAAAGTGAAAACGAACTTGCTCACAGTATGAATATAAAGTTTTTCCTGCCTACAGTTCTCTTAAGAGCAGCCTGTTGGGGGCCTTTGAATGCTTTCAGCTTGTGTGGAGACCTTTTATAACAAATTGTGTTTTTCATGTTAAAAAGAAAACTTCAAAAGAAGGTGTTAACATAATTGAGGCATGATAAGTTTGACAGTAAGTGTCATTATCAGAGTTCACTGACAGCTTTTTGAAGTAAAAAAAAAAGTATTCTTCCTACATAGATATAAAACCTCTTACAGTGTTTAAACAATTTCACCAAATATATTAATATTCTACAAATGTCCCTTTATTCTGAAGGTTACCCAAGTGAAATGATTTTCATGAGATTTGGGTTTTTTAAACCTATTGAACAAAGATACAGTACTAGCCGGTATTCAATATAAGGAAAATACAAAAAATTAAAGGATGAGATAAAAGATAAAAATATAAAAATAGGAAAAAAAATTCTCATGTTTGTATTCTGCACATCAGTGATTCATCTTGTACGCTCCTCTCCCACTTTGAATATCATTGCTGCAAGGAATGTGAAAAAGATGGATAACTAAGAATCCAGATAAGTCCAGGGTCAGTCATCCAAAACTTTGCCTAAATTTAGTATAAAATCAATATATGTTTTTCAAATGAATTATTCTTGTTTTTAGCCTTCACTGAAAATATAGCACTTCTTAATTGTGAAATTCATCACTACTATATACAAGATAATAACTCTCATATACTAAAGTTTATATTTTTTTCTTCTTACAGCTTTCTAGATTTTTGAGTTTTGTTTTTATAAAGAAACTGCTAGTGTAAATATTCAATAAAGCAATAAAGAACATGTACAAAATTAAGTAGTGATATGTTGGCAAGGAAATTATGGAATGTGATTTTTTTTAAAGTAAGAGATAAGAATAAACCTGAAAATAACACCAAACTGAAGTAACGTAAAGAAAATCTGCAGTTAGGCAAAGTCTCATTTTTAAAGCAGTACATACTACTCTGAAATGCCTAAAAGAAAGGAATTAAAATTCACTAGGAAGAGAAAGCTAGGGAAGAGACATGACAAAAAATTTGGCTCAGATTTTTTTCCCACAAACATATTATCTCACAAAAGGTAAAAATTAGTGAGAATTGATTTCTTTCATATTCATACTCTATATTTTTTAAATTGGATACACTATTATAAGTATAATGCTTAAGAGCTTCCACCTCTGAACACACAAAGTCAAAGTCAAAGCAGGTGCTGAAATTGAAACAAAAGAAAATAAGTAAATTCATCTATTATGGGGTGTACGTTGGGTTGATAGAGTGGTTCACTGCGGAGATGAAAACAACCAATAAGGCCAGGCTTGGTGGCTCGCGCCTGTAATCCTGGCACTTTGGGAGGCTGAAGCAGGCGGATCACTTGAGCTCAGGAGTTCGAGACCAGCCTGGCCAACATGGTGAAACCTTGTCTCTACTAAAAATACAAAAATTAGCTGGGCATGGTGGCACAAGCCTGTAGTCCCAGCAACGCAGGAGACTGAGGCAGGAGAATAGCTTGAACCTGGGTGGTGGAGTTGAGGTGAGCTGAGATTTCACCACTGGACTCCAGCCTAGGTGACAGAGTCTTTCAGAAAAAAAAAAAAGAAATCAGCCCATAGCTTTGACATCATGTGGTGCAATTTCAGAATATTTATTCTGGTCTACACAGTGTATTAATTTTCACATTAGTTGTAACAACTATAGAATGAAATCTTCCATTATATTCTATCTTTTCCTAAATGGAGAGATTAAGTGATTTCATAACTGTCCCCCTGGCCAAATATTAATCAATAGGTCTGGGAAAACCATCCAGAAAGTCAGAATACTTCTCCAAGATAATGACTCCATTGCCATATTGTATCCCTTATACTCATGAGCATATTAATTCAGCAAATATTTGTTGGTGTCATTGTAGATTTAGCACTTTCCCAGGCACTGTACTTGCACACTGACAACCTTGCAATAGGCACTGAATAAAAATTATTCATAAATTATTAATAAAAACAAATAAGCAAAAAAGACAAACAAGACACAGAGTAAAGACATGGAGTAGAGTAATTATGATTTTTAAAGCTGAGAAAAGTCTAGTAGTAAGATTGTACATACACACGGGCAACTAAAGAAAGATCCAGCTAGAGTATTATGGGACTATGTCTAGTATGGAGAAAAGTGTAAGGAAATAAGTATAGGAAAATATTATTTGAGTCATGGCCCTGTCACTTAACACTGTGTGACTTCAGACAAGTCACTTAAAAATTCTGAATCTCAGTTTTTGATTGATAATGCTGCAGAGAATAAATCCTACTTCCCAGGCTTTTTCATGAAAGTAAATAAGGATTTCTGTTTCTTATAATGGTGGGTCAGAAATTCGGACTAGTCCTCCTACCAAGGAAATCTGGAAACTGTTTTCCAAGCTTAGATCTAGGAGAAGATGGCTGACACCCAGAGATGTGGGTCTGACCACTGGGGATGACTGTTTTCCAATCTGAAAAGATCAGTGAATAGCTGAGCCCCTGAGATTTTTGATACATTCCCAGTGTTACGCAAGGAAAAGTTTGAATATAGAGCTGGCCCAAGTGTCGATGCTGAGAGACCCCTCATGCTTTGTGTTAAGTCTCTGAAGTTTGAATCACTGAAAAAACAAAAACAAAAACAAAAACAACAAAACAAAACACACCTGCTCCAGAAATAGAGGGGCCCAAGCAAGGGATTGCAACTCAATTTCAAAAACTTCTGAACCCCAAAGTGGAGAAGGTGATTCCTGATTGTCAGTGCCCCCTGTGTGTCTTCCAGAAATAAATCAAAATCTACCAATCTCACCCTCAAATTATATCTAAAAAGAATGTTTCAAACAAATAGCTCTGCCAAAACAAGAAAAAACAACCAGGTACATGAAAAAATGAGCAAAATGAACCACAAAATAGAAATTGCACAAATGGGCCCATATATTGGAGTTATTAGGGACATAATAATGCATGAAGTAGTGTGACAACTGTGCTTGAGGAGAAAAAAGTCAAGTTGAAAATCTCAGAAAAAGTCGACAAGCAAAAAGACGTGGAAAATTTTGAGAAGTTCCAAATAGACATTATTAAACTATAAAATGAAATAAACCAACTTAGGATATCAAACAATGTTTTAACAGCAGATTAAAAACACAGAACACTGAAGTAATGATCTGGAAATGAAGTCAGAAGAAAATAACCACAATGAAACGAGAGAAACAAAGAAAATTACAGAAGAGGGAATAAGAGACATAAACGCGGCCGGGCACGGTGGCTCATGCCTGTAATCCCAACACTTTGGGAGGCTGAGGCGGGTGGATTACTTGAGGTCAGGAGTTTGAGATCAGCCTTTGCTAACATGGCAAAACCCCGACTCTATCAAAAAATACAAAAAAATTGCTGGTCATGATGGTGCATATCTGTAGACTCAGCTACTTGGGCCGCTGAAGCAGGAGAATCACTTGAACCCAGGAGGTGGAGGTTACAGTGAGCTGAGATTGTCCCACTATACTCCAGCCTGGGTGACAGACTGATATCCTTTCTCAAAAAAAAAAAAAAAAGAGAGGGACATAAACACATAGCAAAAGCCTATAAACGGGGCTTTCCCCAGCAAATATTCTTTGTGAAGACCAATGTGATTAAAACTGTAATAAAAAATTGATTGGTCCTCATGCGGTATTGTGAGTTACTGATAAATATTCACAATGATGAGTAAAGAAGAGACTCTTACAGACTTGCTTATTATCCAGTCAGGGTATGTGAAGTTCTTTTTACAGCATTCAGGCATCTCTCCTCATAGTCAGCTCTGAGAACCACTGCTAATGTTTGCTTTGACCAATGTGTGATTCCTGGCTCACCTTGTATCCACCACTAACTCTTTTGCTTATAATGCTCAGCTCTTTGGAAACTGTTTGTATTAAAACAAATAGTGTTGCCTCTGAAGTTCTCGAAGACCCTTTGTTAAAGGCTGGTGGCATCATTACTCAGGATGCTGCCTCATCTTTTGCACCTCCCAAAAATATTTTTTCCAATGATTTTCTCAAGGTTTTTTATTGTGCTTCATTGATGATGACCCAGAATGTGAAGGAAAGTGTTAGCAATCATTTGATTCATGCTCATGTTTTATGTTTTAATTTACTGTTCAAAATTTTGTAGTATAAAACTAGACCAACAGATCTCACCATGTATTTTCTTGAACTCCTTGGATCATTATCAAGAAATTCCTAAATGTAAAAGAACTAATATCCAGAATGTGCAAGGAATTCAAACAAATCTGTGAGAAAAAAATAATAATCCCATTAAAAGTGGGCAAACAGGCCAGGCGAGGTGGCTTACACCTGTAATCCCAGCACTTTGGCAGGCAGAGGCAGGCAGATTGCCCTGAGATCAGGAGTTCAAGACCAGTCTGGCCAACATGGTGAAACCCATCTCTACTAAAAATACAAAAAAATTAGCTGGGCGTGGTGGCATGCGCCTGTAATCCCAGCTACTCGGGAGGCTGAGGCAGGAGAATTGCTTGAGCCAGGGAAGTGGAGGTTGCAGTGAGCCCAGATCGCACCACTGCACTCCAGTTTGGACAACAGATCAAGCCTCCATCTCAAAAAAAAAAAAAATAAAAAAAATAAAATAAAAAAAATAAAAAAAAGGGTGGGCAAATGGAATGAACAGATGTTTCTCAAAAGAAGTATACAAATGGCCAAAAAGCATATGAAAGAATGTTCGACATCATTAATCATCAGGGAAATACAAATTAAAATAACAGGGAGATACTACCTTACCCCAGCCAAAAACGGCCATTATTAAAAGTCAAGAAACAATAGATGTTGTCATGAATGTGGTGAAAAGGGAATGCTAATACACTGCTGGTGGGAATGTAAATTAGTACGACTTTTATAGGAAGCATTTTGGAGCTTTCTCAAAGGACTAAAAGTAGATCTACCATTCAATCCAGCAATCCTACTACTGGATAGCTACCAAAAGGTAAAGAAGTTACCATATAAAAAAGACACTTGCATGTATATGTTTATCACAGAAGAATTCACAATTGCAAAGATATGGAACCAATCTAAGTGTCTATCAACCAAGGAGTGGATTTAAAAAACAGTATGTATACACCATGGAATACTACTCAGCCCTAAAAAAAGAACAAAATAATGTCTTTTGCAGAAACTTGAATGAAACTGGAGGTCATTATCCTTTGTGAAGTAACTCAGGAATGGAAAACCAAACACCACATGCTCTCACAAGTGGGAACTAAGCTATGGGTACACAGAAGCCTACAGAATGGTATAGTGGACACTGAAGACTCAGAAGCAGGGAGGGTAGGAGGGGGCTGAGGGATAGAAAATCACCTATTGGTACCATGTACACTATTCAGGTGAGGGGTACAATGAAAGCCCAGATGCATCTACTATACAATGCATCCATGTAACCAAAAACCATTTTCACCCCTAAAGCTATTCAAATTAAAATAAGAAAAAATAAACTTCTAAATGTGATCACTTCTCATGTGGATCTCACCCCTGCCTTACACACACTGTCTAGTAAGGAAGATGGATAGGGGCCCATGGGCAAGGCAGGAAGAGCCACCTCATTCAAACAATGGACATGCATTCCTGAAGACCAAGGAAAGCCACTTCATCCACACAAGGAACATGCATTCCTCATGCAGCGTGGCCTAAACAAAGACCCAGGAAAGCACAGTGTCACCCAAAGCATCAGAGATAAGAGAGGAAATTGAGCAGGGGGCCTATTGATGTGGTGGAATGTTGATCTTGAAGCCCTGAGAAATGAAGGCACAGCCATCCCCAGAGGACTGCCTGACTCATGGGGGCAGAGCCCAAGGAAGAGGGGGTGACTTCTGTGAGTCTGGTGGGATGGGGTACACAGGATAAAGGATGCCTGTAGGCACCCCTCTGTACTCAAAGACTGTACAGCAGATGAAACACCCTAGTTAGGATGTGGCTGGGTGAGAGCTGACACCCTGATTTATACACACAGGCTATGAGATACATATCTACATAGATATATGTCTCCTAGAGATACTCAGGTGTATGCCTCAGGAGATATATACAGGAACGTTCATACCAGCATCCATCATAATTTCAGAAAACTAGAAACCATCCCAAGGACCAAACAACAGTAGAACAAGCAAACAGGGAGAGAAGTGGCTCATAACTTTGAGTGCAAGATGTAAGTTCCAGAAGAATATGTAGTTTGATTCTGTTTGTTAGGCTCTAAAAATGCCAAGACAAAATATTATATTATTTACGGTTATAACCATGGTTAATAAATCGAAGATGAGAACAAAGTAGTGATTTTCGCAAAAGTCAGGATAGGCTGGGCACAGTGGCTCATGCTTGTAATCCCAGCACTTTGGGAGGCTGAGGTGGGTGGATCACCTGAGGTCGGGAGTTCACGACCAGCCTAGCCAACATGGTGAAACCCCATCTCTACTAAAAATAGAGAAATTAGCCAGGCATGGTGGCATGCACCTGTAGTCCCAGCTACTTAGGAGGCTGAGGCCTGAAAATTGTTTGAACCTGGGAGGTGGAGGCTGCAGTGAGCCAAGACCAAGCCACTGTATTCCAGCCTGGGCGACAGAGTGAAACTGTGTCTCAAAAAAAAAAAAAGAAAGAAAGAAAGTCAGGGTAATGTTTACCTCTGGGAGAAAAGCAGGGAGAAACACATAGAAAGAAGTAAGATCTTGATAATACTTGAGTCCTTTAGCTGTGTGCTAAGGTCATGGATGCTCAGTTTATTACTATGCTTTCATGACTCCATAAATTCTTTGTCTATAGCAGATATATTAATATCAATATTTTAACATTTAATTAAAATACGAACTAAGGTATTTATAGTGAGACTGAATAGAAAGTCTGTCTAGAAATGTACTAGACTCTTGAACAGGATTTTGCAGACTAATAGAATGTATTGAATCAATATACAAGAGACTAGAATACACGAGATTTAAGGAAACTTTAAGATTCTAAAAAATAACTATAAAGTTAAGTAAAATATGTTGAATTCCATGAGGAATATAGGTGATGCTAAATTTAAACTGTGAGAGATTATGATCAGCTAGAAGGACCCAGGAAGTTTTATTGAAAAATACGGCATTGGAGATTGGCCTTAAAGGCAGGTTCAACTTGCCCATTAGAGAGAGGTTGAGATTATCTTTCAATAGAAAGAGGAAAATTGAGAATACAGTGGAAAGTCAACTGATGTTATATTTAGAGAATAGATGCAGGCGATAGCACAGACATTAATTTTGCATTACATTGCAAGTTTCTGGGAGAGGGTAAATTGGGGTTGTGGATCTAGAAAGTTAATGTGGCTGAAATGCGTGGAGGGAATGTGACTTGTAAGTGACCAGAAACGTAGAGATTGCATTTTTCCAGGTAAGAGTAAGAGCTCCAACTGAAGAGGTGGTAATGGAGACTGAATTATTTAAGATTGTGTGGTTGGAAATAATATTTCTAGGCAGATTTGTGGCTCTGATATTAATAAGTAGGTTAGTAAAAGCTTTGATTTTCTCATGGGGAGGTTAATAAAACCATTCCAACTATTGTAATTCCCCATGCACAGATTTCAGTGATAACCAAGAAACCAGTCTGAATGAATGTAAGCTCCAATCTCATGTAGCCAGTGTCTTATAAACATATTTATGCCCTATTTTTCTCAATAGGAGGGACTCCTTGGCTTACCTTCCATTGTAATTTTGCAAATGAGTTTAGCCACAATATTTATTTAATCCCAGTTGCCTAATAAAAAAAGAAATCTTTGAGTTTGCCTAGGGTCCATAAAACATGATGTGTCTAAATAAGAGCTAAATGAATGAGAATCTTTGCCCTGGACTTCCTGGAATTGTGGGAGAGAAGACAGCAATGATTTTCCTTTTCCATGGCAGTTTTTCAAATGAACAGGTGCTGTCTTTTCTGATGGTGTCATTGCCAACGTTGTTGAGGATTCCAATGTAAGAAATAATTATACCATCCTGACACTATTGGAAGTAATGAAATGATGAACCAAAACGGTCTTGGTCTAAAAAGTAGACTATTTTAAGATATTTTTCAACATACCAGGAGATGTTCTTGTGTGTGTGTGTATATATATATGTATATGTGTGTGTATATATGTATATGTGTGTGTGTGTATATATATATATGTATATGTGTGTGTGTGTATATATGTATATGTGTGTGTGTGTATATATGTATATGTGTATATATATGTGTGTATATATATATACACACACACATCTAGATAGAAATATATTCTGTCTCTCTGTCTGTATCTATAAATAGATAGATGGGCAGGTAGGTGGATAGATACATGGATAGCTAGATAGATGATAGATAATGTAAGTAGTTAGTAATATTATTTTATTGATTTAAGGATATAATATTATTTATATTAAACTCATTATTTTACCTTGTAAAATTAAACCCTGGAAAGATGAATTCAGTGCTTAAAATCCCATTCAATGTTCAAAAGACATTTGGCTTTATCATTCATCAGACAAATTCTAATAAAAACTATATTAGCATTCACCACTACAAGTGGTCAAAATAAGAAAATATAAATGTTGGTAAAGATGTAGAACGGCAAGGATAATTTTAATATGCCCCGATGTGAAGCTACCAAAACTCCCAATGATAGTGGAATGAATAAACAAACTTTATTTATTCACATGATGAAATATTATGTGACATTGAGATGGGCTTGTTTATGACTATGTGCAGTAATATGGGTGAAACTATTAGGATAGTGTAAAAGTAATTGCAGTTTTTATCTTTTTTAAAAAAAGTAATTGCAAACACTGTGATTACTTTTGTACCAGCCTGATAACAAACATACTTTTCAAGCAAGACCCTAGACAGTATATAATATTTGGCTCCATTTATATAAAGTATAGAAAAATAGAAAAAAGAACAAGCTATACTGTTAAACATTAAGGTAGTTGTTACTCTTAGAAGGTTCTAACTAGAAGTAGCAAGAAGGGGCCTTCCGGGCTGCTAATAATAGTTTGCTTCTATATCTGGGTGCTGTTATAATAATCTGTGTTCTTAATTATATATATGTGTGTGTATATATACATATAATTTTATAGACATAATTAATATGTAATACTAATTATATATTCTTAATTGTATATACATAAATATGTAAATAAAGTTATTATAAATCAGTTAAGGTTTTTTTTTTTTGTTTTTTTTTTGAGACGGAGTTTCGCTCTTGTTGCCCAGGCTGGAGTGCAGTGGCATGATCTTGGCTCACTGCAGCCTCCGCCTCCCAGGTTCAAGCGATTCTCCTACTTCAGTGTCCAAAGTAGCTGAGATTACAAGCACCCACCACTACTCCCAGCTAATTTTTGTATTTTTAGTAGAGACGGGGTTTCACCATATTGGCCAGGCTGGTCTTGAACTCCCGACCTCAGGTGATCCACTAGCCATCACTCACTTACATCCTTTTGGGGGAGGCAGAAAAGAATCACACAGGCATTTAAAAAATACCTAAAGATGCCTGTAATCCCAGCACTCTGGGAGGCCAAGGCAGGTGGATCAGGAGGTCAGGAGATGGAGACTATCCTGGCCAACATGGTGAAACCCCATCCCTACCAAAAATACAAAAATTAGCTGGGCATGGTGGTGCGTGCCTATAATCCCAGCTGCTCGGCAGGCTGAGGCAGGAGAATAGCTTGAACTCGGGAGGCAGAGGTTGCAGTGAGCCGAGATCGCGCCACTGCACTCCAGCCTGGAGACCGAGTGAGACTCTGTCTCAAAAAAAAAAAAAAAAAAAAAAAGACTAAAGATTTGCGGTGAATCTTATTAAAAAGTGGGATACTGCTTTGACGGATTCCAAAAGGGAGATTTCACTGGAGGATAAATGTGCTATGATCTGAAAGAAGAATAGGAGGTTACTATTTCAAAGGGTAGAGAAAAAGAATGTCAGGTAGAGGGAACAGAAGGCATAAAGGCCTGGAGGTAGAAGGGAGAAAATCCAGAAGGAAAGGCCAAGGTGTCTGGAGCACAGAGATCTGAAGCTCTGGTTGTCAAACTTTATCACATTACATAATTGTTAGGAGGGCCGGCTAAATCACACACTGCTGGTCCTTTCCATGAAGAGTTTCTGATTTAGTAGGTTTGCGGTAGGTCTGGAGGATTTGCATTTCTAGGAAATTGCCAGGTGATATTGATGCTGCTGGTTCAGAAATTACACTTAGGAAATCACTGATTTACAGACAAGTTAGAATGGCAAGAGGCTCTGTGGGAGCCAGACCACTCATAGCTTTTAGAGCACTATGGTTTGAAAGTGTCCTCGAAAGATCATGTGTTGGAAACTCAATCCTCAATGCAACAGTGTTGAGAAATGGGATCTACAAGAGGTGATTAGGTTATGAGGGCTCTGCTCTTATGAATGGATTAATGATGTTATTGTAGGAGTGAGTTCCTCATCTTGGAAGTGGGTTCCATATGAAAGGATGAGTTCTGCACTGCTCTCCTCACCACTTCTTATCCTCTTGACTTCTGCCATCGAATGACACTGCAAGAAGGCCCTGGGCAGATGCCAGCATCTTGTTATTAGACTTCACAGCCTCTAGAATAATAGGAAATATATTTCTTTCTGATAAGTTGCCACATCTCTGGTATTCTGTTAGAGCAGCACAAAACAGACTAAGATAACATGTTAGGAAATTTGATCATCATTCTGAAAACAATGGAAGACACTAAAGCTGGGGTTGACATAATGCAATATGTTTTGAAAACATCATGCTGATATTGGCACATGAATGAAAGCACTGGAAATCAGGAAGCTATTCTAACACTCTAGGTAAGGGCTAATGGTGGCTTGAACTACAGGAAAGGGGACAATGATAGAGATGCACATATTAGGTTTCTAGGACATTATTTTGTGATGGTTTGGATGGGGTGGTAAAGAAAAGAGAGAGAGCAAGGACAGCTTTTAGGTTTCTAACTCTCAAAACTGAGCGATTGGCAGTAGGCACTGAAATCGGTAATACTGGAAGATCAAAGATCATTGAAGATATTAAACTGCAGTTTTGATTTACAAATCCAGAGCTCTGAGTAGAAAAACATTGACTGTGCATGTACATTTAGGAGTCACCTGCAATTTGGTTGAGTTACCATAGACAAAAAATATAAAGGAAGATGAGAAAAAGACTCAGGACTGAGTCAGGAGAAATTTCCACATTTTTAACAGCCAAGTAAAGTTGATAAGCCTTAAAAGGAGAAGGAAAATGTGGCCAGAGATGGGGGAGGAAAACCAGGTGTGTGTAGTGTTTCAAAAGTCAAGAGAAAAGAAAAGTCCAGTAAGATGAAGACTTTTCAAGAAGTTTATCAAATGGTGAAGAAAATATGATAGAATAGTAACAAGAGAGGAAATTAGGAACAAGGGAGTTTTATGGGTTTTTTAAAGACTAATCAATATTTCTTTTTATAAGAGAATTAAGCATGTTTGAAGGCTAATAATTCCTTTAATAATTCTGAAGGTAATAATTACATTCGGAAGAAAAGTAAAAGGCAATGGATCTCTGAAATACCACATTCTCTCTCTCTGTCATATACACACACATATACACACACACATGCACACATTACTTTTGCTAATATAAAAGGGTACCTTGTTATTTGAAATTTCATTGTTGTACTGGTGAGGTTGCATCCTTTTAATACACTCACTTTTTGGGTTTGTGTGAATTGCCTGCTAATGTCCTCGGCAGATTTTTTCTATTAGCACTCCTTTCTCTCTTCCTGTTTTTGTGAGATCACATTATATATTAAAACTACTTGTTTGTTTATATTACACATGATTTTTTGGTTTTTAATTCGTCCTTTAGTATTTTTATTGTACAATGAGTCCTAAAATCATATTTAATCAAAACAATTCATCCTCTTTTTTATTCTCTGACTTTTGTGTCAAGCTAAAAAACACTTTTTTAGATATATTTTTATATATATTTTTAAATATTTTTTACATATATTTTTAAATATTTGTAATATTGTATTTTTTTTTTCGAGATGGAGTTTCACTCTTGTTGCCCAGGCTGGAGTGCACTGGCATAATCTTGGCTCACCGCAACCTCCACCTCCCTAGCTCAAGTGATTCTCCTGCCTCAGCCTCCCAAGTAGCTGGGATTACAGGCGTGCCCCACCCAGCCCGGCTATTTTTTGTATTTTATTATTTTATTTTTTTTGAGACAAAGTCTTGCTCTGTGGCCCAGGCTTGAGTGCAGTGGCGCCATCTCGGCTCACCGCAAGCTCCGCCTCCCGGGTTCACGCCATTCTCCTGCCTCAGCCTCCCAATTAGCTGGGACTACAGGCACCCACCACCACACCCGGCTAATTTTTTTGTATTTTTAGTAGAGACGGGGTTTCACCATGTTAGCCAGCATGGTCTCGATCTCCTGACCTCGTGATCTGCCCGCCTTGTCCTCCCAAAGTGCTGGGATTACAGGCGTGAGCCACTGTGCCTGGCCTGTATTTTTATTTTCTAAATCCAGCTGATACTAATTTATCTAAAAAGTATTATAGAAATTATATATTTTTCTCTAAATTCTTCACCAGTTTTCAAGTTCTGTGTATTTTCAGACTTCTATTTCGAATGTCTAAAATGTGATATCAGAATTGACTTTGCTGACTTAGTGATGCTAAATTGACTTTATCACTTCGGATTTTTCTATGTTCCAGTGGCTATATCCATGCTTTTGGAAAATCCCATGCAAGAAAACTTGACCATTAATTCATAGCCTGCATATTCTTACACATTTTTTCTCTTAGCTCAACTGAAGTCTAAAATTACCTCTCTTAAAAAAAGGCCACCTAGAAAGTTGACCTAAATTTTAGGTACCCATCTGTTTAAAGAAATGAGCTGCATGGAATATTCTATTTTTCTGTTTTCATTATCCATTAGCATTCAAAATGTATACAAGGGTATATAAAACTCATATGTGGAGTCTTGGTAGTTTTAGAGATTACCTTTTTTTTCTCCTTTTGAATCCCTTTTTGGTAGCTAAATAATAACCTAAAAACAGGACATATTTTTTAGAATATTTTCTCTATTATGGGTCAAATAAACATGTTTTAGTTTTTTAAACAGAACAAGGCCAATGACATATTTTAGCAGTCCTACTTAGAAAGACATGTTACATTCACAATTTTCTATAGTTTACTCTTTAAAGGAATGGTATGTAAAATTACACAATAACAATAAATAGATTCTTGTGTAAGATCCAAGAATTACAAATGTGTATAGATTGGAATGTAAAGGCCACTGTGTTTGCCCTCTCTCTTCTTGGTTGCATATGTAACTTGAAAGTTATTTATTATTTGTGTGGATAAACATGGCTGTTTTTGTATTTTTTGCTTTTTTAAAAATATAAATGAGATCATATAAATACTTTGTTTTTTTCACTCAACAAAGTGTCTTGAAGATTTATGAATAAGTATGGTCATTTTAAATTCTGATTGTCCTGCAGTGCAATGTCAATTTCACTTACACCAATACTAGTATGTCCATTTCTTCATATCCTTGTCAATAATGAATATTATCAATTATTATTACTTAATGCTTATCTGTTTAAACAACATAAATGATATCCATTGTTAAAATTTTTAATTACTTATAAGAACAAGCATTATCTTATATATTTTACTCATGTCTGAATATTCCCTTAATTGCTATTTCTTTACCTAATTTTTCTATGTTTATTAGAACTGCTTACATATTTCAGGGACTAATTTCTTTGGTTGATGTGTAGTTTTAAAATATTTTCTCCCATGAGGATAGATCATTTTAAATTTATTGCTTATTTTTTCATGAAGAAATTTTAATTTAATTTATTCAAATTGGGTTTTTCCCTCATGGTTTTAATTTTGTATCTTTTATAAGAAAGTGTTCCCAGCTCCTAATATATATATTTTAATGCTTCTATACATTTATGTTTTAAATTTAGCTCCTACATACACCTAAATTTTGTTATTGTTACCTTGGAGAATAAGTATAGGAATGGTATGATATGACTTCTTTGCAAAAATTTTAAATGACTGAAGATTTTCTCAAAATGATCTTTTTCCACAGTATGTTTAAAGGATATTAATTCTGAGTGCTTGCAGAAAGGAATAAGAACAGTCTTGTTTAACAATTTTAAATATTCTGAGGCACTGATATTATATGTACTGTGGTAGAACAAAGACATTGTATTTTATATAAATTTGAAAGAATTTTATGAAAATATATTCTCCCTTGCTAGATATCAAGCTTCTGACAGCTGAACAGACCTTCACAGAGCCAGACTGGCCATTAGTACTTTGATTTTTCACAATGCCTTTCTTTATTTAATAGGCCTAAAATATTGATTAACATTTACAGATTCAATTCCAAGCACTTGCCAGAGGTTAGGGAGAGCCCAGAGTGAGCTGTTCGTGCCAGTCAAAGTCTAAGGTGTAATGAAATTCCCCACTGTGCCTGTCAACTTATCCACTACATAGGTCATTTCCCGCATGGTCTCTGGTGTTGAAATAAGCCATTTCCACTTCAAATATTTCATAGACAATGGAGAAAAATGATATGGCACTAATATTGTGTTCTTTACCCTGCTGTGGAGGATTGAATAGACTCCATTACATAGCAATGCTCTTTTGAAAGGAAGGCCTTATCTGCTCAGAAGGACTCATGGGAAACCCAAGGATGGCTGCAGCATCTCAGGTGGACCACGGCAGTTCTCTGCTGTTGGCTTGCTCCCTCATTTCCAAGTTTTAGGCACTGGGGAATCACAATTGACTAACTACAAAAGCCATGAGCATTTACTTCAGTTTGTTGATCCTACATACTTACTGATCCAGTCATGTGGGGGGTTGACCTCTGGCTCCTCCTTTCTAATCAATTGCTTTTCAATTCCCCCTTTGCCACTTTTAAAGATTCCAGGCACAAGATCTTGAAAACAAATTTGGGACTTTATTCAAGCATTCCTAAATATCACTCTAATTTCACTGATTTTTGGAACTACTTCTTTTCTTTCTCCTCAAAGCAATTGTGTAATTTAGAATTTCACTTTTCAGACATCTTCTTATTCTCTTTCCCCTAAATGATATAAAAATGCATGTGTGATTAAATTGTATGACCACGGTAGAAATCCTGAAACTCACACAGAGAGCAAACTATTTAAGATATAGATCACTTTGGAATTTCTATAAATAAGCAAGTAGAATTTCTACCTAAGGAGTAATTAATGTCATTTAGTTTGTAACTGAATAGGGTTATTTATTTAAAGAGGAAAGGTATATTTTAAAAACCTCATCAAAATAAATGGGATTTGCTTTACTGGAAATAGTCCAGAAGGGCCTTTTAACTTCATTAGGGAGGCTCAAATTGACTCAATTATTTTAAAGTGTGTGTGCATGTGTTCATGGGAGTACCACATTCAATTTTGTAAAGAAACTGAAAGATTGAAAAATGCTCTAAAATTAGTCAATCCTTCCCCACTTTCATTCAGAAATTTTTATTGAATGCCAGACAATATGTTGGTACATTCAAATATTTGGGATTGTCTCAACTTTCATGGATTGTTAAGTGGGAGTAGATTGTTTTTTTAATTAACTTTTTTATTTCTATAGGTCACTGGGGAACAGGTGGTGTTTGCTTACACGAGTAAGCTCTTTAGTGTTGATTTGTGAAATTTTGGTGCAGCCATCACCTGAGCAGTATACACTGCCCCCAATTTGTCATCTTTTATCCCACACCCCCTTTCCACTCTTTTCCCTTGAGTCCCCAAAGTCCACTGTGTCATTCTTACGCTTTTGCATCCTTATAGCTTAGCTCCCACTTATGAGTGAGCAAAACGTGGAACCAACCCAAATGGCCATCAATCAATGAGTGGATAAAGAAACTGTGGTGTGTGTGTGTGTGTGTGTGTGTGTATATATGTATATATGATGGAATACTACTCAGTCGTAAAAAGGAATGAATGAATGGTGTTCACAGCGACATGGATGAGATTGGAGACTATTATTCTAAGTGGAGTAGATTCTTAAAGTTAGAGGGGATGTATGGACTTACTGCTGCTGTGGCCGAACAGAGGCATTTCTGTCTTTCTACCTAAAGGTTTTAAGGTCTCAAAATCTGGTTAGTAACTTCTGAAGATGCAGCACCACAGAAGCAAACCCCAACAAAAAATAAATAAATAAAACTTGCCTGAGAGGCATGAGCTAAATGTTACTAGTCCTTATAAGAAAATGACCATTAATAAATCCATCTAGCACTGCCTTTATTTTGGATTGGGGCAAAAATTAGGAAATGTGAAATTGTGAGTTTCCTGAGAAAAGGACCTACTTCTAACTTAGATCAGACATAAGAGGACTGATTGGAAAGCCACAAGGCAAATATTAGATGCCAGCCCCTTGAAATGTATGTTGCTTCGTTTTGGAGAAAGTAGTTTAGAGATGGCTCAAAGAACTAAAAATAGAACTACCATTTAACCCAGCAATCCCATTACTGGGTATATGCCCAAAGAAAAATAAGTCATTCTACCAAAAAGAAACATGCACTCATATGTTCATCACAGCACTATTCACCATAGCAAAGACATGGAATCAACCTAGGTGTTCATCAACAGTGGACTGGATAAAGAAAATGTGGTACATATACACCATGGAATACTATGCAGCCACACAGGAAGAACAAAATCATGTCCTTTACAGCAATACGGATGCAGCTTGAGGCCTTTATCCTAACTGATATGGAAACAGAAAATCAAATACTGCATGTTCTCACTTATAAGCAGGAACTAAACATTGGGTACGTATGGACATAAAGATGGAAATAATAGACACTGGGGACTCCAAGAGTTTGGAGGAAGGGAAGGGGGCAAAGGTTGAAAAACTACCTATTGGGTACTGTGCCCACTACCTGGGACATGAGATCATTTGTAACCCAAACTCCAGCATCCTGCAATAACCCCTTGTAACAAATCTGCACAAATACTCCCTGAATCTAAAATAAAAAGTTGAAATTAAAAAAAGAAAACCCTATTTCCCTAATGCTCACTGCCTAATTTGGCCAACCTATCTAATTCCACTTCCTTCCTTCTAGGATGTTTAGCAGGAAATGCCTCTGACTTTGTCATGGGTAGCATTTCATGGGAGTGTTTGCCAGCTTCCTTCCACTCAGACAAAAATCTTTGCCCCAAATAGACATCGATTAAGTAAAGGAGACTGGAAGTATTCAATTTGCCTTCACAAGGAAGCAAAAAAGCATTCCCTAATATTAAGTCTCCTTAACTGCTGATCTCCAAAAACATACAGATTTCTTGCACCAACACACTCCTGCCATCAAAAAGCAGCCATTATCACAAATGAACAAAGAAATAAGCAAAACTATCAACCATTCTCAAGTTGTTTCTCTCTTCTGGTATTTTGCCTGTGTAGCATTTGGACTTATCTATAATACAGTCAATGCACTTTTAAGTATGTTGATATTATCAGAACCCAAATCACCCCCAGCTAGCTATGCTACGGGCATGAATTCTAACTGTTTTGCTGTAGGCTAAATTTGTAAGTAGGCTACAATTGAATGATTGGGCATAGGTGTATATATCAAATATAATGAATGCAAATTGGTAGTGTCAAATGTATTTAGCCAGAAATAGAATAAGGTAGACAGAATAGGGTTTTGTTTGTTTGTTTACTTTTTTTGATCTTTGTTTTATTATTAACTAGTTTCAGTAAGCTCCCTGACTTCATGGAGTGGTATCGGCAGCAGTAATGATGGTGCCAGGGGAAACTAGATTTCAAGATGTATAATCTTCCCTATATACTTAGTCATACTTATTCCTGTGGCCCAGGGAAATTATCTTTCTCTCTCCATATCTAAGTCTCTTCATGCCCATAATCATCAAAAGACACGAATAGACAAAGGTCACATTCTGAGAACCAGGAAAGCACAGGGAAAATAAAAATACCACTAGAGATGTTATTAGGAACAAAAGGTCTGTCTTAAACTTTATCAGCACTGCAGCACAGAAAAGTTTATGATTGTGAAATCATTGCTCCAGACATCAGTGAGGAGATAAGGAGAGTTCATACTTTAAGGGAATTGGTTATATGTGGTTGTGTTATTTTTATCCAGGTGGAAATTTTAATGCATATTAAAATAATAACAGTTTTTTTTTTTGAGACAGAGTCTGGCTCTGTTGGCCAGGTTGGAGTGCAGTGGCACAGTCTTGGCTCACCTCAACCTCCGTCTCCCGGGCTCAAGCAATTCTCCTGCCTCAGCCTCCCGAGTAGCTGGGATTACAGGCGTGTGCCACCATGCCCGGTTAATTTTTGTATTTTTGGCAGAGACGGGGATTCACCATGTTGGCCAGGCTGGTCTCGAACAGCTGACCTCAGGTGATCTGCCCACCTCGGCCTCCCAAAGTGCTGGGATTACAGGCGTGAGCCACCAAGTTTCCTTTTTCTTTTTTAAAAATTTTATTTCACAAATAATAATTGTACATATTTATGGGGTACATAATGTGTTTATACATAGAATGTACAGTGATCAGATCAGGGTAATTAGCACCATCATCTCTAACATTTATTTATATATTTTTTGTTTGGGAAACATTCAATATCCTCCTTCTAGTTATTCAAAACTATATGTTTTTGTTAGCCAGAGCCATCTGACAGTGTTATAGAACACTGTAACTTGTTCTTCCCAACTAATTATGTAAGCCAGACCTCCATTATAAAAGGGATGGTGGGTGTCCATGGTAAAATAATTGTGAGGAATTCTGGGTTAAAAGCACAGTTCACAAAAATAGGTTTCTGTGGACTTCTCAGAACTTTTCATATGCCCTCTCTCCAAGACCAGGTACAGCATAAAAGCATTACCAACATGGATTTGGACCATTGAAACTTTTTTTCCCAAAAAAACACCCATTAGTGTTTCAAGGTGCATTTTTAGTTCTACAGAACAAAGTTTAGAAAATATGAAAAAGGATTCATGGAAAATCACTCTTTGATTTCACTTCTATTTTCCATGAAATAATAAGTCAAAAGGTACAGGATCCCAGGTAGAAACTGGAAACAGTTCGTTTGTTGTGTTTCTTTTATTCTCTTCTCCATCATCTTGGTCTTCATTTGGGAGGAGGGGAGTAGATTCTTAAGTTATTTTTATTTTCTTTGGCTACATGGTTTTTCAAATTTATGTCTCATTAATTTAAAAATATCACTGTAGGGTTGCATTCTTGGAGAAGTTTAAAAGACAATACTTACCCGTTATTATTACAGGGACCCAAAGAGGTTACAGATGGAAATATCATGTGTATTACTTGTCAATGATCATCCTAAAATGAAATCCTAGCACAAAAGCAAACAACCAAATTTAACTCTTTTTTAGTAAACCTAGCAGATCATAATAGGAGGAAACTGGATCAGTATGATTTTTCTTTTCCTTTGCATTTCTTATATCCCATGGCCCTACACACACAGACACACACACGTGTACGCACGCATGCACGCGCACACACACACACACATTTCCTACATACTTTGTCTAGGCTTTGCCATATGCTGGATGAAGACTTTCATGTCCCATCTCATTTGACAGATACAGCTGAATGTTGTTATTCATGTGTTTGTTTGTTTTAAATTCTACCATATTGTTTCTTATCTCTTTTGTAAGTCAGAAAACATGAGACTAACTACATCAAAGAATATTGCCCTAAACCTCCATAAATATCTGTTCCGCTGAACACTGGAGCTACAACAAATTGATTTTACTTCCGCAGGTCTCTCTTTAAAATGTGACTGGTTGGGTGCCCCTGGGACTCTTTGCATGTTACAGAAGACTGCTCATGCTCAAGATACAGCAAAATGTTGCCTTTTAGTTAGACAGAAGACAGCTGTGCTGGGCTCAGTTGTGCTGTGCTGTGCTGTGCTGAGCTGGACCAGGCTGGGCTGAGCTGTTCCTGGGAGAGTGAAAGTGAGTGATGCTTCCTTGCATCCTGCACTTAGGTAGGCATCTGCATGTTTTCTGTTTGTCCATAATGGTTTTGCTTTATCAGGTAACTGGCATTGTGCACAATGCCATTGTGTACAGATTATAACAGGATCCACAGATATAAAGTATCTGCAAGCTCTTGATGTAAGTCATTAGAGGAACAAGGCCTGCAAGTGATGTGACGGTGTAGGTGCCCCCACCATGCCGGCATCCATCACAGGGACAGGCAGCAGCTGGCTTCTGCAGATCTTCTTCCCAGAGAGCTGGGCAAGGGCCCATCTCCAACTGTCAGAGGTCAGGTAGACATCTGTGCTCACAGTTCAGTGTGGCCCTAAAATATCATCTTCTTTGTTAATTTGAGTATTGCCAGTTGTTCTTGTTTTTGGTATGGTTTCTAATGCAAAAGTGTGATATAATTTTGGGGTCTATAAGTTACTTACATCTGACAGTATATGAAAACTGAAAGTGACCAAATCCAGAAATAGTTTGAACAAAGTCATCAAAGCTCCCAACTCCCTGTTCTGCAAACTGAAGAAATCATCAGTTTTATTAGTGTCTGAGTCACTTTCATCAGACAAAGAGCTGTTTCTAGTTTTGTTTTGTCTAGAGTCAAGACTGGTTTCCAAAGCAGTGAAAAAAGGGATCATTTGCTGTTTATTTTTTTTTAAAGTAAGCACACCCAGAATTCTCTTTAAAAATCTTTTTGGGCCGGGCGTGGTGACTCCTGCCTGTAATCCCAGCACTTTGGGAGGCTGAGACCGGCAGATCACCTGAGGTCAGGAGTGCAAGACCAGCCTGGCCAACATGGAGAAACCCCATCTCTACTACAAATACAAAATTAGCCGGGTGTGGTGGCGCATGCCTGTAATCTTAGCTACTCCGGAGGCTGAGGTAGGAGAATCACTTGAACCTGGGAGGCGGAGGTTGTGGTGAGCCGAGATTGTGCCGTTGCACTCCAGCTTCGGTAATAAGAGTGAAGAGCAAAACTCCATCTCAAAAATAAAAAAAAAAAACTTTATTATTTTTTTAAATTTTAGGTTCGGGGTATATATGAAGTGTTGTTACATAACTAAACATGCGTCACAGGGGTTTGTTGTACATATTATTTCATTGCCCAGGTATGAAGCCCATTACCCAAAAGTTATGTTTTCTGCTCCTCCCCTTCCTGCCTCCAAAGTAGACCCCAGTGTGTGTTGTTTCCTTCTTTGTGTTCATAAGTTCTTATCATTTGGCTCTCATTTATAATTGAGAACACATGGCTTTTTTTTTGTTTTCTGTTCCTGCGTTAGTTTGCTAAGGTTAATGGCTTCCAGCTCCACCCATATTCCTGCAAAAGACATGATCTTATTCTTTCTTATGGCTGCATAGTATTCCATCATGTATATGTACCACATGTTCTTTATAAAATCTGTCATTGATGGGCATTTAGGTTGATTCCACATCTTTGCTATTGTGAATAGTGCTTCAGTGAACATTCGTGTGCATGTGTCTTTATGACAGTGTGCATATGCAGAGCTCTTCTTAGTTTAACAAATATATGAGTGATAAATGTCAGAAAAGAAAACATTACACATCATCTATCTAATTCTAATCAGTGATGCCATGTTTATTTAAACATCCCATTGAAATTTAGTCCAATTCCAGGAGAAGTTGTGAGAAGCCAGGGACTATAAGATGAATGGATGGGGAAAAGTCTCAAAGCAAGAGGTGGTCAGAGAACAAGAGAGTGGCAGTTGGTCTTTTGGGATGAGGGTAGGGTAATGGGAGATGTACGTACCATAGTCTACCATGGTTCATACATAACTAGTTCATAACTATTTATGAACTTGTATTTCTTTAATATTTTATCTATTCCTTTTTTTCCAAGAATAATAATGTTTGAAATTTCTGGAAATTATTTTACATATAGATTGGATCTCTATGGTTTCTTTCCTGTGTTGCTTATATTTTCTCCTTCTCCTTTCCCTTGAGTTCTTGGTGAGTTTTTAAAGTCTATCATTTACCCCCATAGTCATGTCCTCCACCTTTCGTTGTTAGTGGTACCTCTTCCAATTTTTAATTTGGCAGCTGTGTCCCTGTCTCCTAAATCTCCAAGGCGTTTTTCTTCTAGAAGATGACCTGAAGGAGTTTAATGGATATGTTTTCTCGACTTTCTTTAGATCGTGTCTCAGAATTAATTTAGGTTTTCTGCTTCATCCCAAATGTTCCTTTCAGAGAGCTGCTCTCCTCCTGTTAGTAGGCTGGCCCCTCGTTTTTGACCTACTTATCCTTTTATAGGCGTAATGGTTTTTATTGTCTTCCCACCCACTGGTAAGCACAGCTGGACTCATTTTCTGTTCAATATACACACTTCCCACAAAAAAAAAAAAATCCTCCTCTCGAGTCTTTATTCATTTCTGGCCTTTCTTCTGAGTGTTGCCACCTGGTTCCCAGTAAAATCCCAATAATTTCCTCCATGTTGTCCTCACCCACACCAGGAATCAATCCAACAGGGAGGCGGCAAGTCTATCACATGGAGGGGAAGGAAGCGTGGCCAGGCCTTGCAGCAGCTCAGCCCTGCTCAGAAGAGCTGGTCTCCTCTGCCATAGCTCACCATCCACCATCCTTCCCATAAAGGACACATTTGAGGAGGGTGGAGATTTCATCAATGTCACCTCTTTATATTTCCCTTTGGCCCTTTCTGCCTCTTTTACTACTTCCCATCTTTATCTAAGAGGCATGTTAAATTTCTGACATGCTGTAGTCATCATCTTTCTTAATTCCCAGTTTTCCTCTGGGACTATCAGTTGCAGGGAGGATTGGGGGCTGAGGAAGTGTTGGCTAAGTGCTGCCCAGAAGCACCTACTCCCTTGGAATCAGAGAGAGCACCCCATGCCTATTTCCCTCTCCTTCTTTAATTGCTCGTTTGTGGACTGAATGTTTTTGTACCCCTAGAATGCATACGTTGAAGGCCTAACCCCCAAGGTGATGGTGTTTGGAGATAGGGCCTTTGGAAGGTAATAAGATTCAGATGAGGTTATGAGGGTGAGGCCTCCATGATAAGAATAAGAAGAGACATGCGAGAGAGCTCCCTCTTTGCTATGTGAAAACATAACAGGAAGGCTGCTGTCTGTAAGTCAGGAGGAGAGCCCTCTTGTAACTCAGTTATGTGGGTACCCAGAATTTTGAACTTCCAGTCTCCAGAGCTATATGAAATTAAATTTCTGTTGCTTTTACCACTCAATTAATTAATTAATTAATTTTTTGAGACCGAGTTTCCCTCTTGTTGCCCAGGCTGGAGTGCAATATCACAATCTCGGCTTACCGCAACCTCCACCTCCCGGCTTCAAGAGATTCCCCTGCCTCAGCCTCCCGAGTAGCAGGAATTATAGGCACCCACCATCATGCTTGGCTAATTTTTGTATTTTTAGTAGAGATGGGATTCCACCATGTTGGCCTGGCTGATCTCAAACTCCTGACCTCATGATCTGCCTGCCTTAGCCTCCCAAAGTGTTGGAATTACAGGTGTGAGCCGCTGCCTGTTGTTATGGCTGTGTGAGCATTCTAAGACACACATCTTCTCCGTCTCTTTTTTAGCCTCTTAACACTATTTGCTAAGCCTCAAGTGTGCCTTTGACTCCATTCTAGGCAATGAACAAAGCAGGAAACAAAACAAAAATCCTTGCCCTCATGGAGAGCAAATTATAGGAGGGTGCTATGTGACATTAGATGGTTGCAGGCACTATAGAGAAAATAAAGTAGGGAGATGGAAATTCAGGGGAGGGGTTGTCATTTTAGTGCAGGCAAAAAAGAAAAGTTTTACTGACAGTGACTTTTGTACAGTGAAATGAAACAAGCGAAGGAATAAGGAGGAAGTCATGTGGATACCTGGGAACACGCTTTCTAGGAATGAGGAATAACAAATTCAAAGGCCCTGAAATAGAAACATGCTTGGTGTGTTCATGGAACAGCAGGGAGGCCATGGATGTGGAGTAGGGTGAGAGTAAGTAGTAAGAAACAATGGATTCAGAGAGGAAATTACCGCTAACCTAATTTCACCAAAGTATAGTAAATGGTGGTGTCTCTCTGCTCAAACCTTCAATATATTGCAATTGGTTGAAGAATAAATTTCAGATTCATTAACATGACATTTAAAGTCTTGCTCAAACTGGACTTTGCAATATGTTTAGTGTCACTTCTTCACCCTGGTTAATTTGTTGTTCACTCTGGTTACATTCACCATCTTCCCAGACAAACCTTAACTCTTTGTAACTTTCTCATAGCTCTCTTTACCTACTAAAGCTGGCTTCATCCTAAAGGTTCAGCTCAAATGCAACCCTCTGCTAGATGCTTTTCTTCAATGGCCCTGGGTAAATTTAATCCCTACCACCTCTACTCTTCCATAGATTTTATCTAAATTGTAACATGTATTTAATTATTACCTAACCTTTAAACAAATAGTTACATGGCTGTTTCTCCTGCTCAATCTTAAGATTCCTGTAGCCAGTGCCCATTATGCCTCTAATATGTTCATTTTTTTGACAAATAAAAAAGAACTGGCCGAGTGCAGTGGCTCACACCTGTAATCCCAGCACTGTGGGAGGCTCAGCCAGGAGACTTGCTTGAGGCTAGGGATTTGAGATCAGCCTGGCAACAAAGTGAGACTGCCTCTACAAAAAATGAAAAAAACAAAACAAAACAAAAAAAAAAAAACTACCTGGGCATGGTGGCACACTCCTGTAGTCCCAGCTACTTGGGAAGCTAAGGTGGGAGGATTGCTTGAGCCCAGGTGTCCAAGGCTTCAGTGAACTACGATTACCCCAATGCACTCCAGCCTGGGTGACAGAGTGAGACCCTGTCTCTAAAACAAACAAACAAAAAACACACACACAAAGCAAAACAAAAGCTAACTCAGAATCAATTACTCTTGTAATTTCCCAAAAAGAAAATAGACAACATTTGTTGCAGATTACTTAAATATTTATTTCCATAAGCAAAGTGTCTATAACCAGATGATATCTCAAGTTTCTTTTTATTATGCCAATGCTGCATTCCCACAGACAGTTTCAGATATGTGAAATACAACAGACTTGTTGGCTTTGGTGTTCAAGGTGATTCACACTGAATTGCATACTGGGAGTCCCTAAGGTTCTGCTGTCAACAAGAAGAAGTGTATTCATAGCCCCTTGTCTCTTAGAAGCTCAAATTTAAAAATCCATAACATACCAAACTATTTGAAATCCTCATGCTTTTTTTTTTTTTTTCATTTTTATTAGAGAGGTAGCTTTAGGAATCAGCATCTGAATCACTGTGACTGTGGATAACCTCAAAGGAATATTGTTCACAGTTGCCAGGTAACTAAGGATGCCAGTAGTTTAGATGGGCTGAAAATAATTGACACCTCCTATGGAAGTAAAGATACTTGAGGAAACACCTATCAACGTTCTGGAAGCAGCAACATTTCCGAAGAATTTCTGTTGCTCCCTCTTTTTTTTTTTTTGAAAATTCAAGGGCTTGCTCTGTCACCCAGGCTGTAGTGCAATGGTGCAATCACCGCTCACTGCAGTTTCAAACTCGTGGGCTCAAGCAATCCTCCCCTCAACCTCCCATGTAGTTGGGACCACAGGTGTGACCATCATGCCTGGTTCCCCCATTCTAACTACTCTGTACCAGGCATTGGCCTTGACAGCAAGATACTTGCAGACTATCTCACGCCTCTTAAAATGGGAAAAGTTCCATTTTTAAGGGATTTGGCAGTGAGAATAGCAAAAACGAAAACAACAAAACCAAAGGAAAAGTCTTGGTTTCTAGTTTTTCCCTTCAAAATCCACATCTTCCCAAAAACCAAGACATGAAAATCCTCCTAAGGAGTCTGGAAGAAGCCATGTGGCAAGTTGTCCATATCTACAAAATAGTTTCCAGGTAAGTCACAAGGCATGAGACTTTTTCCCACACAGTATGAATTTGTATTTTATGGTGATCCATTCTTCGCTATAGCATAAGCACAGCTTAAACCTTATTTATAAATACAACCAAAGAACGAGCTCTGTCTTGGAAAAGTGGGAATAGTTTTACAGTGATATTTGTCAAGAAGAGTCCAATACAAAAGGAAAATGAAGCTACAAAACAGAGCATTCTTGCATCACCCAATTTCCTTACAACACGTATGCACACACAATCTCACACACACACAGAATGCTGAGAGATGTCACAAAAATACTTTGAAATTCAACACTAGTAGAAAGAAATGTGTTGTCTCACATTTATTCGAAAGGTATTAGCTTTCTTTCTCAGCAAAATTGAACAAACAAGCTATTGACAAAATATTTTTTAAGAAGACAAAGCTTATTTCAAAAAACTCAAAAATTTCTAAAGTTTTGGTCTCTACTAAATATCTAAGATTAATGCCATTCATATAAAAATGAAAAAATTACCATTAAATATTGATAATTATGGTAAACTTGAGTTTGATTATTAATTTAGGGCTGAACGTGGGGAAGTCATATTTTTTTGAAAGTTTCGCATAATGTTTTTGGGTAGCCAATATAAATTAGGTTGAGCTTTGCAGAGGTAAAGCTCATCAAAAGCTACTGGAAGTAGCCAGCTATAAGGTAGGATGGAGGATACATCATGAGAGAACTTTTGAACTGAAAATCTGGCAACCTGAGATATAGCGTTGTCATACTCTTTCACCTCTCTGGGACTCATTTTTCTCTAAAAGGAGGTATTTGAACCAGGTATTTTCCACAATCTTCTCAGCTCTAGAAATGTTCTCTTCACATAATGAAGAGGGTAGTGTGGAAAACAATTATAACATGAGTAAT
This sequence comes from Homo sapiens, assembly GCF_000001405.40. NCBI lineage: Eukaryota > Metazoa > Chordata > Mammalia > Primates > Hominidae > Homo > Homo sapiens. The sequence continues at coordinate 10,052,084 of NC_000010.11, forward strand.
GATCATTTAAGACAGGAGTTGTTAGAAACGCTTGTTCCAGCTGGATAGGGTGGCTCATGCCTGTAATCCCAGCATTTTGGGAGGCCAAGGTGGGAGGATTGCTTAAACTCAGGAGTTTGAGACCAAGCTTGACAACATAGTGAGACCCCATCTCTACATTTTTTTTTTAATTAGCCAGGCATGGTGGCATGCACCTATAGTACCAGCTACTCAGGAGGCTGAGGCAAGAGGATTGCTTGAGTCTAGGTGGTTGAGGCTACAGTGAGTAATGATTACACCACTGTACTCCAGCCGGGGCGACAGAGTGAGACCCTGTCTCAAACAAACAAAAAAAGAAAGAAAGAAATGCTTGATCCCTGGCCCCATCCTAGAGATACAGACTCGGAGACTCTGGGTAAGGTCCAGCAATCTGAGTTTAACAAGCTCTCCTGGGGAGGGTCCAGTGCACAGCAAATTGAGAACTTCTGATGGGAGGAACCTCCTTCAATCTTCAGCACTCACACTGCTCATACCACAATGGTGTGAAGTAAATGAGATTTGTGTTTTCTCTAGGGCAAGAAAGGAACAGCAGGCATAGGTGAGAGGGAGATGAGCCACTCAGGAGCCCCTGGGACACGAGAGCTCTGGACAACAGGGCTGGGCTGAGTAAAGGTTAGAGATCATTTAGCAAGAGGCTTATGATTGCTTCATGGCTTACAGTGTTCCTTGGTATTGAAAAAATAAATTGTTTTAATGCAGCACTGAAAGACTAGCTTTCAAAGTGCAGTCTGAGTACCTCTTGTAATCTTCTGGACTGGTCCCTGGGCAGACGTCCTAACACTCTTATATCTAGGCATTAAGAGTTTGTTCATATAGTTTTATGAGTAGCAGATCAGTCCCCCTGGTTTCCCACCTGAACCTAACCTGGGAAAAGGAGGACTTGGCTGCAAGGAGATGGTTAAGTATTCCTGCTACTACATACGTCAGATCACTTTATTATTTTAAAGTGTTGTTTCTTATGATATTAGAAGGCTATTTTTCAGTGACTGTTGATCTGATTGAGGAGTATTGGTTCCCCTTAGTGGGCTTCCCACTCTGTGATCAAGGCCAGAGGTAATGTACGTGTACTATGCCTGTTGTGAGTCAGCATGGCCCATGCCAAACCACGGTAACACTCCAACAGCACTGCTGTGGCTACAGTGGCCCTCGCATCTGCTGACGTCCTGTTCCCCTGTTGGGGCTTTTAGCAGGTCTTACAGGATCTTCTCGTGCCCATCCTTTTCCCATGGATCCACAGCGTCTTATTAGCCCGTCCACGTGTTCCACCAAACGCCTCTGAACTTCAAACCCCAGCTCACTTAATGGATCATGCTTCTTTCCTTGGTGTCTGATTATTTTGTCAGTGGCAAAGATTGAGTTCTGCAAATGGAATGAAGCCTCCTACAGGAGTGTTTTTTAAACCTATGCCATTTAAATTTACTTTGGGAAGAGCTGTCTGCACCTACAATATGTTCTTTCATATTTCTTGTCATATTCAGTTACTCTGGGCAAAACATGTTAATGTTTAGTTGTCCTGGGATTAGGAAAATAAAACGTAATATGGTCATCTCTTGGCTCAATGAGCCAAACTTGATGAGTATACCTGTGTATATATGTGTATGTGTTTCCTTTTGTCTTTGGATAAACAGCTAATGTTAAGGCAATTCAAGATAAAGATGTATTTTTGAGGAAGCTAAAGAGAGGAAAACTGTAATATCTTTTGTGAGCTACATTTACCCCAAGGCATTTATCATAAAATGCATTTCGTTTCTGATTACATCACTCTGGCAGCTGGTATGAGGAAGAAACCACGTTGGGAAATTGTCAAAAACGATCACAAGTTTATTTGGCTTCTATCAATTTTCTCTTTTTTCTTCTTCTGACCAGAAAACTCTTGTTTCAATTCCATTTGAATGTCAACAATAAAAAAAAAATAGCAAAGCCTTCATGAGCAAATGTTCAAACTTCAGGGGGAAAATAATCAAAGGACCAGTTATTCCTATGTACTTGCCTAAAGATGCATAATACTGTTTGATGTGCACATACAATTTAATATAACCTTTTACAAAGCTAAAATGATCAGAGCAAGAAAATTCACCACTTGAAATATTTGGGAAGAAAGTTTTATATTATCATTTCACTTGAAACTTTTCATAACCACGATATTCCTGGAAAATGTAGAAATAACACTGCTCCCATTTTGGTAGAAATAGATGTTTGGAAATGTCTTCCCAGTGTCTTTCATGTTGTAATAGGAAAGAAAAGGAGACAATCAGAGCTGTTTTTCTGTTTGCTAAAACAGCCTCCTAAATGTAATTTAAAGAAAATAAATATGACAAGTCTAGGTCATAAATCATTTCTAATGATCACTTTTATTTTCACAATGAGGGAACGGAGACACAGGTGGGCAACAAGTCATAGATGACCTTGTAAGCCAGTTGCACCAAACGATATGGAATCCCAAAGGCGTCTTCTTCCTGTGCTTCAGCTACTGGCTTGTATGAGCTTTTTATTTTCGTTATGTCTCAGCTACACATTTCTAGAGCATATAATAGCATGCAACCCAGCAGGGTTTGAATGTGATTAGACCCAAGTGAAGCACCATTAAAAACCAGAGACGTATTCGAATGACATGACATTTTGAATGAGTGCCAAACCCAGTGTGTTTGGCTTTGTGTGTGTACTTGCTTCCTTGATTGTTAAACCGATTTCTTTTCAGAAGAAAATGTGCTTTTCTGAAACAGCTAATAGGATGCTTCATAGGTCACATGCTATTTTCAGGACCAGAGAAGAGCAGTGTGTGTTATGGATGAAGTGAAAAACATCATTTCTGAGTCTCCCAGCCTCTGTAAGCTCAGGTCAAGTCATTATCTTTGATTTTACTTTTCAGTTGTTATTAAATTTTCTCTCGTTTTTTTCTGTGTTGACTGCCTTGCAGGTTTCTCCACCAATCAACCTTGATTGGGTCACCCACAATCTCTCTTTGAACTTTAAATGTGAAATAGGCTAATCAACCCAAGCCTTCTATTGCCTGTTGGGCTAGGACCTGGTTCTGTGATTTCAACTCACATCAATCATTTTAATGCAATAGATGTTTATGTGATACACAGAACCCCATGCCAGCCATGTTCAGAGTATGTCTTGGTCAAAAGCCCATATATTATATGTCCTCATAATGTAAATGTAAAAGAATGTGTAAGCATGTTTTTGCACACATTTGCTTTCTAGTTTAACATAATTAGTCGAGCTGAAGTGTTTAATGGTTGCACTATTATGGAAACTATTGACTAGACTATCTACAGTGTTAATTCTGACCATGCAATATATATAAAGCTTTCTCATATTACAGCCTGGCTTCATATAATTTATTTTCTTACTGCCAAAACATGGCTTTCACATTTACTATGAAAGACTTTAGGTAAGGAATGAGAGTGATTGAGTTAATTGTTATATTTACTATGGAGTTGTTACTTCAAACACATTGTGGTAGAGTCGAGCAAAACAGAATGTCCGTATGTGAATAATAGCACTACGATCATGGCACGTTAAGATTAGAATTAGGGGAAGGCAGCTAGCATTTGTTGATGACCTTTTATATTCCATGTGTTTGTAGGTTGCCTCTTTTCTGAGCTCTTCTGTCCAATATTCTCATTTTAGAGATACTGATAGTGGAATAAAGTGCATTAATTCATGCTTTTTTACCCATGAGTCAGGCGTGAAACTCCAGGACTCCAGATACAAGCCTAAGTGCCTGGTTCACTACTGTATTCTGCTTCATGTTATCTCTTTTGAAGAAAAGCCTAGTTGGGTTTCATATTTCAAAACTTTTTCTTGTGAAATCTCTCATCCACTTCATCTCTAATTGAAAATGCCTCGCTCTGGAAATCACAAACTTTTGTTGTTTGTTTGATTCAAAATAAATCAAAGTGACTTAATTTTGACCACTCACATGAAGACTGAAAACCTTTATAACCATCATGGAAATTACAGAAGGTAAAGGTAAATCTTTTACTTTTATGGGGCTGGCAATTACGTTTTTGCATGTGTTTAGCACATAGAATTCTTCTTGGTAAGTGTAAAATGCTGCATATGTACAGATAACTTGTCAGCTAAAAATGCTTAAGGCTCTAGTCTGCATTCCAACAGGATGTGTGTGAGCAGATGTTTATTTCAACACTTCATCAGTTGAGCCATCACTGTATATTAAAGAGTAAAAAGATAACAGCTGAAATGGATGAAGGAGTGAACAATGAAAGACACAATGTTACTCCGATTGCTTAGAAAATATAGGCAAAAAAGTTTATAGGAATGAATAAAAGAATGATGAATAGTGCCATCTTTTCATATAGGTGTTAACTCTGTGTTCTTCTTTGAAGAGTTGATTCTTTCAAAGACTTCTCTGAAAAGGTGGCATTGATCATCATCCTAAGAGGGACTAGCAGTAAAGAGGACCTAATTTTAGGATTTCAGGAATACCAGGGTACAAAAACTTCCTGGAAAGGAGAGATAGAACTGACTTGCCAGAGCAAAAGAAAAATCAACATTTACTCAGCGCCTCTATCTTATTGGTTATATGATAAGTAGTGTCATATGTGGCGTCTCATTTAATATCTAAAACTTTTTGGATTTTTCTTGTTTTTTTTTTTCCGTCTTTATGCAAATAATTGAAATTCAGAAAGTTTTGATAACTTACCCAAGTTCAGAAAGCTAATGAGTGTCATACTTAGGACTGAGCTCCAAGTGTGTGTATGATTCCTCATTCAGCTGCATCATGCCACCGTCACAAGACATTTTAGAGATGGTCTTATATAAGAACAAGAGGCAGGAAACTATCTTCTTAGAGCAACAAGTTAGATGGGAAGTACAGTTGCAACGAAAAAGCGATAGCTACTGTTACAGTCCAGCGATATTATAAATATGTAACACTGCACAGGCTGACATATCAGAACGGATGCTAACCTCAAACTATTGTAGAGAGGTACCAGAGCCTGCTTGCTAGCTACAGCCCCCTAGCCACATATCAGCCCTGTTAATAGTGCCTTTTAAGTGAATTCCCTCTCTTGACAGAGAGCACACCCTAGAGGCTCAGAATCATGTGCAATTCTCCCTTTCCAGAGCCTCTGATGATAAAATACCAGATGGCTTACATAACCAGATGTTTTCCTCATTGTCCTATTTTTCTGTTCACTGCTACTCGGTATACTTCTTGAATTTGTATTTCTTTATTTATCTCCATAAATATTGGCATTTTCTATACTTCCAGCCTCAGCCATCTTCAGTATTTTACCCAGCCATTCCCTTTAGAGGGTACTATTCTTTCCTAAGGAAAGGTGATCCTCAACTCTTCCAAGTCTTTGAAATAGGGTCTCACTCAGCTGCCCAGGCTAGAGGTCAGAGATGTGATCGTGGATCACTGCCACCTCCGCCTTCTGGCTTCAAGCGATTCCCCTGTCTCAGCCTCCCCAGTAGCTGGGATTACAGGCATGGGCCATCACGCCCAGCTAATTTTTGTATTTTTAGTAGAGACGAGGTTTTGCCATGTTGGCCAGGCTGGTCTTGAACTCCTGGCCTCAAGTGATCCTCTCACCTTGGACTCCCAAAGTGCTGGGATTACAGGCATGAGCCACCAGGCCCGGACACTTCCAAGTCTTTATTTATTAAACTAGTGGTACCCAGAACACTCGCCATTGCCCCTGCTTCTCCTGTATCACCCGCTGCTCAGATCGGCTTTTCACATCTCCCTGTCATCAGCAAGTTCTCTTTGGTCACCTTTCTCAAAGTATATACTGAAAGCTCTCTATCATTACTGTCAGAGCTTTGGACAATCTCTTGCTACACTAACATGGATAATTTCAGTAGCCTCCAAACAGATCTTGTTGTCTCTACTCTTGCACAGCTTAATCCATCTTCCACACAGCTACAGGAGCACTTTCTCCAAAGCACAGAAACTGCTCATCAGATACCCTTCCCACTTGCTAATATGAACCGTAACTGCCTAGAGGTGAGTTTGTTTCAGTCAGCTTTTTTCAATTCACTGGGAGAAAAATTAGCTTTAATACAAAAAGCTGTGCATAATGCTTTAGAATAGGCAAGGAAAGCAGTCTCTTTTAAAAGCATCTGTCAGATAAAATGCACCTTAGCAATGGCATAAAGAAAACATCTTGCCTGTAGAAGAAATTTATGAGGCAAGAAAAAAAAGATGAAAGGAGGAGCCTATTGCAGAAGTAAATTAGAAATCTAGGTAAAAGAAAAATATCAGGGCAGCACCTCCTAAATTAAACTTAATTGAAAGAGATTAAGCTGAATTAAAATTGATTAGGCCAAGCCTGGCATCATTATGAATTTTAATAATAATAATAATAATATTCATTGAACACCTAGTTGATATAGGGTAAGACACTGTCCCTTCCCCTGAGTTTATAATCCAAATTAGGGAGGGAGAGTGAGTTGGCTGAAAAAGTAAAAGCGAAATAGACTTCAAGGAAATGAGTTCTAATAGCACTGACTCCATTTGGAGAGTAGTTTAGTGTTGTAATGGGAGTAAGTAACCTCACAGAATGTTAGATTCTTTGTAATTATTTAAGGGAGGAATAAGGTTCTGGAACTTTAGCCAATACTGTAGTTACTGGTGAGGTAAAAAAGTGTCAGTCTGGGTGGAAAAGGAAACAAAAAATAAGGGAAAACAGTATGAGATATGGTAAACAAGGAAGAAAACTGCATTATTACTCCATTTAATGGAAAATAAGCGTTCAAAAAACATGTAGTTTCTTGTAGATCTTTGCAGTATCTTAATTTTCTAATCATTAATTCTATCATATAATTATACCTTGATTTTTTATTTTATTTTACTGCTGAAAAAGTCAATAGCTTATTGATTTTAGGTTTTAAAATTAAGTTTATTAATTTATTCTTTCAATAGTTGTTATTTGGAGGCATGATTTAAAAACAAGTTGAATTATTTTTCTTGTACCTCTTGTAAACACCTTAAAAAGTCTAATTCCAAACAATAGTTCTAAGAATATCTTGAGCAATGACAACAACTTCAAAATGAATGAGTAGCTTTTTAGAGTGTTACATTGAAAAAACTAAGCTTACTGTGCTTTATTATACAGCCACATTTTCAAAGATAAACATAGACTTCCCAGGGATAGTTTTTCCATTGCTAGTATCTGCCTCCTTCTCTTCAAAGATGCACATTACAACTAGCAAGGGTGAGGACGGTGTAGCTTCGTCTCCTTCCTCTCTCAGACGTATCGTAGAGAAGATGGATCTTTCCTTCCGCCATCTCTGCTAATTGATGATGTTTGAGCTCTTCCTTGGGGAAGACATCAGCAGTTCATTCACTGCAGTTGCCAATCATTGAATCAGGTAGAGTATGTTCCCCTCTTATAACGGGAAGCTTTCAGTAAATCAGATATGACGATGGGCATGACTTTGGAGGTATAAAGTGACCAACATTATGGTTCCATAGCAGGTATGCTTTCCTCTCTTCCCAAGAATAAAAGTGTGCTGCCCTACTCTCAGGAGATTCCCTGAAGGACTCAGAAGAAATGGACAGATTTAATCTAGTATAAAAAAGCATGTACCCATTTCCAACAAATATATCACTACTTCTCAGAGTAGGGAAATACTGTACATATCAAAAATGTGGTGCACCAATCAAAATTACATAAAATCAGTGATGTAAATCATAAACTTATGACTCTACTATCCCCAATGGTATAACGATTATAAAATATTTTTAGATTAAAAATAAGTACCAAAAGATAACATAGGAGACTATCTAGGGGACCTCAGATTTGGAAATGACTTTTTAGATGCAATAGCAAAAGCATGCTTCATGAAAGAGAAAATGAAGTTGGACTTTATTGAAATTAAAAACATCTGTTTCTGAAAGACACTGTTAAGAGAAAGAAAAGATAAGCCACAGGCTGGGAGAGAAAGACAATACTTGAATAACATGTATCTGATAAAGGACTTTGTTTCCAAAATCTACAACCAGCTCTTATAACTGAGCAATAGGAGAACAACCCAATTAGACATGGGCAAAAAATCTAAACAGACAACTCACCAAAGAAGATAGACAAATGTTAAATACACATATGAAAAGGTGCTCAACACTGTACATTCGTTAGAGATTGCAAATTAAAACCACAATGAGATACCACTACACTTATTAGAATGGCAAAAAAATCAAAACACTGACAACATCAAATGTGGGTGAGGATGTTGAGCAACAGAAACTGTCATTCACATCTAGTGGGAAAGCCAAATAGTGAAGCCACTGTCAAAAACAATCTGACAGCTGCTTACAAAGCCAAACATAGTTTTACTATACAACCCAGCAATTGTGCTCTTAGGTATTTACCCAAATGAATTGAAAATGTTATGTCCATAGAAATGCCTACACATAAAAGTTTATAGCAGGTTTATTCATAATTGCCAAAAATTGAAAGCAATCAAGATATCCTTCAATAGGTGAATAGGTGAATGGATAAACAAACTCTGGTACATCCATGCAATGGAATATTATTCAGAGATAAGAAGAAATGATCTATCAAACCACAAAAAGAGACAAAGGAACCTTAATTGTGTGTTACTAAGTTTAAGAAGCCAATGTGGAAAGGCTAAATGCTGTATGATTCCAGGTATATAACATTCCGGAAAAGACAAAGCTGTACAGATAGTAAAAAGATTGGTGTTTGCCAGGGTTATGGGGGAGAAGAGGGAAATACCTGGGGCACAGGCTATTTTTAGGGCAATGACACTGTTCTGTATGATGCTGTAATGGTGGATACAGGATATTTTGCATTTGGCAAAACCCACGGAATTGTACTACTACACAAAGAATGAAACCCAATGTCAACATGGACTTTAGTTAATAATAATATATCGATATAGTTTCCTCAGTTGTAACAAATATACCACACTAATGCAAGATGGGAATAATAGGGAAAAGTGAGGGTATGGGGGAGATGGGGTCTATGGAAATTCTTTGTACTTTACCCTCAATATTTCTGTAACTCTTAAACTATCCTAAAAATTAAAATCCATTAAAAACAAATAGAAAATACACTATCAGCTCCAACACATGGAAAACTCTAGTATTACCATGTCCAATATTTCTGAGAATTCCAAAGCCATCTAAATATCTGGGGTCCTCCTGCGCAATAAGTAGATGTAGGGTAGTGACACGTTCCCTAACATATGTTTCTGTAATTTAGTTTGGCGAAGAGCTTGTCTTTGTTTTGCTTTTTTTTTTTTTCAAGAAACAAGGTGTCACTTGATCTTTTGAATAGGTTCTTTTCAAATGTTCTTACCTACTGACTGTTAAAGTATTCAAGGCAAATGATGTTGCCATATTAATACAATTTATTTTGGTTAAAGCAGTTTGCCTTAAGCTGCTAACGCAGACTCAGTGCTCTGTGCAATTGATGGGTGAATGATCAATAGAACACCTAAGATTCTCATAAAATCCAGCCTCCAACACTGTGACAATGAGCCAGATTAAGAGAAAACTTCAGTTGGCTTTCTGTTGTCTCTCTTACAGACTGGCTTTCCAGGCATTCTAACTGAATTACAATAGACAAAAATTAGTTGACAAAGTCAGCAACGTAGACCATGTAAACCTCATGATTCCTTATAGTGAAATAAACAGTGAGGTAAGTACAGATAAACTTTAACATTTCAGTGAGTTAATAAACAAAAAGCCCTTTATTCATGTGAGAGTATAGTCATTGGTATGTGTTGAGAGAATGGATCCACACAGTCATTCAGGGAACCCAGGCTGATGAAGGTTTTGACATTTTCAATGGGTGGTTTCTATAGCAACACTATCTGTTGTTATCCATCCAAAGGATGATGAAAGAGAGAGAGAGAAAAAAAACAGCACGTGGAAAGTTTCTTGGTCCAGGTGTATATCACTTCTGTCTATACCCCATTGGCCAGAATTATTTGTTCACATGAACACACATAAGTACATGGGAGGGTGGGAAATATGGAGATTAAGGAAGTAGATGTGTTAAATATATATGATATATAATTATACATATGTATTCCAAGTACATACATCTCATTCATTCTATTCCAGAATTAATAGCTTGTGATGAGAAGACAGGACTGGAATAGAATTGAGGATGAAATAAATAAAATTTAATTAATTAAACAAGAGTAAATCTTTGCATGACAGCATGTCATGTGTTAAGGGATCTGATTAACACAACTCTTTGTAGCTGACATAAAACTACAATTTTTTTAAAAAAAGGAAAGCAAGTTAGTAAACCCACTAAAAATGGACAGATTTCTTTCTCAACTTGTTGAGGAGAGACATCATAGGATTCTTTCTATTATTTTAAGTTCCATCAAGTTTTTTCTCTCCCCGGAGAGCTAATTTCTTACTGCACTCTTGAGTCATGACAGATAATTAGAAAATCTGGTCAGGCTTTTGCGGTGCCATATTTCTGCAAGTTTTGTATTGTTATAAAATAGCTTCAGGGGAGACACACATACCAAAAAAAAAGGATAATAAGGGTGAGAGTACATTAGCCTAAAGTATAATTTTATTGTTTTCCATCTGTTGTAATTATGAAAATAAACTCATTGGTACTCTGATCAGCAGGATAAGTCATCAGAAAGATGCTTGTGTCTAGCAACATATCTTGTTACATGTTATAAATAAGAACATCTTATCTGTATGGCTTTTTTCCCCCTTAGGAGCAGAGCCATTGCAATCTTCCCACTAGAAGAGTCATATTTTTTCCCCCTCAAACCAACATAGCTCAAGGGAATAGTATTTGTTTCAACCAAATCATTACTGCATATGGGATTTAGATTTGCATTTGCACCTATTTCCAAGGTGACTGAAAAAGCGTTATTTTAAGAAAATAACAATTTAAAAATCATAGTTGGAAGGGTATGTTTTCTCTCCACTTATTGAGTAAGAATAATATGTGTGCTATTGAGTGTGTAGGAGTACCCAGTGAGCATTTGTCAACTAAGTTTTACAGTGACAAACCAACTGAGTCAAGAAAAATAGGCTCGATTCTTCCTCTCTCGCTCTCTTACTGCCTGAACTATGGAAAGCTTACTCTAAAGCATGCGCTGATTATTTTTAAATAGTAAGGGTGATTTCATTACCTTAAAGAGGACACGTGATTAACTGCCTTAACTCACTTCTTGTTTTCTCTAACTTCAGGAAGTGACATAACTGGCATTGATGATGGAAAAAATCAAAAGGAAGATTGTTTTCCTACAGCATCAATTTTATATTTTCCTAAAAAATACTGTGAAAGGTTAATGGCTACTTATCCATAAATATTGTCTTATATAATGTATTTTTCATTACTGGTAGAAGAAGGAAATCATAGAAACAAAAGAAAGTAAATTTTTAGATTTTAATAGGGACCAGTGATTCTCTCAATTCTTAAATATCTCTAGTCATCAGCCATATTTGAGAACCACTGCTCATGGTAACTCATTAATTTTAGAAATACAGGCCAGAGAGTGAAGTCATACAACTAGGGGCTGGCAGAGTGAGGACACGGTGAGAAAGTGGGCTTTTTTGGTTTTTGTTACCTCCCTCCATGACAACACACACACACACACACACACACACACACACACACACACACACACAATTATAAGAAGAAATGTGAGCGCAGGATCTTGTTGCTATCACTCATGATAATTCTAGTTGACATACAGGAACAAAGAGTGATAGGTTTTCTTCACCTTAACATGATGTGAAGGCCCTGCAAAGTAGTGAAATATCTTTCCTAATTTAAGGGATACTGAATGGACTCAACCACTAGCAGAAGGACATCCTAGCAGAGTACTGAGAATTTTCTTTTTGGAGTGTCCCAGTCCATCCATGAAGAAGGCTGCTTCAGTATTTTGAGTTTCAGCATTTCTCAGTTTGGGGTTTTTGAGCAAGGGTTGCTACTTACAATTTTCTAAAGACCCTGACCTGAGTTAGATTTCCAGGGGATTGATGATACACTGAGTGGAAGAACCATCAAGAGTCCAATTGATGGCCCCAGGGAGCTGCAAAGAAGGTGCTTCTCATAGATTAGTTGATTTCAATTTCTTTGAAAGGAATGTGGTCCACTGGACAACTTCTTACTGTTCCTCCTGTGCTCCTGTCCCTAGATCTCCAGAACTCATAGTTTAGTTTTATAATTTTTTGTTGTTGTTTTCTGAGACGGAGTTTCACTCTTGTTGCCCAGGCTGGAGTGCAATGGTGAGATCTCGGCTCACTGCAACCTCCACCTCCGGGGTTCAAGTGATTCTCCTGCCTCAGCCTCCCAAGTAGTTGGGATTACAGGCATGCACCACCACGTCCAGCTAATTTTTGTTTGTATTTTTAGTAGAGACGGGGTTTCTCCATGTTGGTCAGGCTGGTCTTGAACTCCCAACTTCAGGTGATTCACCCGCCTTGGCCTCCCAAAGTGCTGGAATTACAGGCGAGAGCCACTGTGCCCAGCCTAAACGTGTATTATAATAAATATATAATATTTACAACTTTGTAAACATATGTAAATAGGAGTTGTTTTAGAAAATTGTGGAATTGTTAAAGGAGTCTCCCACCTCAAACCATTTTCCCCAGGGTCTCTCAGAGTACACAAGGAAATATGAGTTCCTCTTGCTTTGACATCTGGGTGGGGATGAATTAAAGAACATTCCAATGCATAGTAATTACCTTGTAATCAAAGTTAAGTGTAAGGATCAAGGAATTCTGATTGGTGCTAAATCCATTTCATAAAAAATAAGCAATCTCAAGATTTCTCAAAGGAGTGAATGACTGGATAAACAACCAATCGGAGACTGAAGTGAAGTTACAAAGGCCACACGCCTAGGCAAACATCTGATGAACCAAATTACCTCATGAATGGGAAAAAAAGTTAGACAGGACAGAATCCGCTTGCAGTTGGCTAAAAAGTTGGGAATTGTTTGGTGAAGAATAGAAATCACTGGAGGCCTTTTAGTAGGAATATAGCATGGCTAGATTTATGATTTTGGAAGATTTTCTGGCAATGGGAAGTGTTATGCTAACAGAAAATACACAGTGACTTTTAATCATTCTGTCATAATCTCACTGTATTATTCTGTTCTCACATTGCTATAAAGAAATACCTGAGACTGGGTAATTTATAAGAAATGAGGTTTAATTGGCCCACAGTTCTATAGGCTGTACAGGAAGCATGACATCATCTGCTTCTGGGGAGGCCTCAGGGAGCTTCCAATCGCGGTGGAAGGCAAAGGGATTGTGAGGCGTCTCACACGGTGGGAGCAGGAGCACAGAGGGTAGCAGATGCTACACACTTTTAAACACCCAGATCTCCTGAGAACTCACTCAGCATCACGAGGACAGTGCCAAGTGGATGGTGCTAAATCATTCACGAGAAACTGCCCCTGGGATCAAATAACCTCTCACCGAGCCCCACCTCCGGCCTTGGGGATTACATTTCCACATGAGATTTCAGCAGGGACACAGACCTGAGCCCTATCACCCACTAAAACCCCTGTGATTTAAAACTCAAAGGAATGTAAAGGGCAAACATGTTACTGAGTTGCAGCAGCCTAGTGCCTTCGCTTTTAACTAATATACATGCATATTAATGTTTCTCTTTGTGGCTTGTAATTTGCTTTAGGGATGTCTGGCTGCTTCCTCTCTTTACTGTACAAATTGTCACTAGTTCCAGGGTTCTCCTAACCTCCTCTCTTACCTAATGTCTCTCTTCCTCTCCTTTCTTCCACTGTTCCCCAGAATACAAAATTACTCATTTGATTTCCTCACCTTTTAAAACAAACCTGCATTGTTGTTTTACTGCTTGATTAAAATACATTAAACTTTGGAAGATGGAGTGGAAAACATAAAATAATTTTCCATGATGAATTTTTTTAAGAGGTGGCATCTCACTCTGTTACCTATGCTGGGGTGCAGTGGCATGATCATGGCTCACTGCAGCCTAGAACTCCTGAGCTCAAGCATCCTCCTGCTTCAGCCTCCTGAGCAGCTGAGACTATAGGTATGCGACACCATGCCCAGCTAATTTGTGTGTGTGTGTGTGTGTGTGTGTGTGTGTGTGTGTGTGTGTAGATGGAGTCTTGCTATGTTGCCCAGGCTGGTCTCAAACTCCTGATCTCAAGTTATCCTCCTGCCATGGCTTCCCAAAGTGCTGAGATAATAGACACGAGCATCACTCTAGGACTTGTCTCATCTTAATATCGAAAAACAACCGCAGTTGACAACTTTATGCATTTCAAATAGTCTTTAGTCCATCAACAATATTTGATGTATTACAAGTTTGGGAACATATCATGCATAAGACTTGTATCCTGTCTTTTCATCTTAACACACATTAACATGAGTGTTGTTCTGGAAATTTTAGTCTACGTGAACTCTCATTGGTTATAGAATCTCCACTAGTGCTATAATTCTCAAACTGTGGCCTCCTGATGAACAGCGTCAGTATGACCTGGAAGTTTAGTTGAAATGTGCAGAGTTTAAGAACCACATACCCTGACAACTACCAGAGCAGAATCACTGCTTTTTTTTACTGTACAGCTCCAGTATGGCCTCAGGCAATATTATCAAAGGACTATATGCTAGACCATTGTAAAGATGGTATGTTTTTAATATTTCTATTGATTTCACCTCCCCTAAGAGGAAGACACTTAGTCAATTAGACAATACCTCACTGCCCTATCTATTGTCTGCTCCCCAGACCCCAAGAACCCATGATAATTATTTTCTTGGTTTTAGCAGACTCCTAAGATACAATTGACAAAAACTATATAACTGGTTTTATATTTTTTAGTTTTGTTATAATAAAAAATATAATTTTTCATCTTTTAGTCCTCATGGACGTTTGAATAAGCATGTTTAGGAAAAGTCCTGAGATCTCATTCTGCAGCAGTGATTCTTTCCAGAACTGCCAAGTTTGGTTATGCAGGTTGTGAACTGCAAAACCTCCAGGAGTGCCATTGACTTAGACTGCAGTGTAAATGATGCCTCTTAAAATTATGTAACACAGGAGTCCTGGCTCCTATGTTTAGCCAACAAAGATAGGTGGTAGCAAGAAATATGGGTAGATTTTGACTAATTTCCTTAAAGAAGCTAGGGAGGTAGTATTACTGATAATCTTTATCTTCATTTAAAACTAAGATGCTTAAATAAGGTGATTTTTTAAATACAGATTTCTTAAACTTACTTAGATAAACACAGATTCATTATGAAAATGGCTGGCATTTTATTTGATATAACTTCCACAGGAGTATAATTGTTGAATGAACTGAGTTAATGGACGATCACTTGAATATTTTAGGAGAAACCACTTAAAATGAATATTTTCTTTAGAAATTAGCCTGAAATATTTTGTTTTCTAAGTCTTCTTATTGAAAATTAGGTAACTTCAGAAATGTATGCTGAATAAACTGGCTAGTGTTATACTCCTCTGTGTGTTTGTGTATGTTTATGTAATGTATTCCAAATGTTTATATGTAATAGCATATAACCAATGTTTCCATGAGGCAATTTCCAGGCATGTTTTATATTCATTTCAAACAACCTTTATCCCACTAACAATATTTAATTATACTGATATTGCAAAGCAACTTGATGATTGTCTTATATAACAATACAATTTTCCTTCAGTAGTATCCATTTTTCCCCTTAAAGACCAGTGTGATACTACTAAGTGGTATCCTTTATGAACTAATGAGTCAAGTTGACAGATTGTAAAATGAATTGTGTCAGCCAATCTTGACTGGAAATATCTTTCACATTCACTTTATGAGTTTAGACAGTCTAGTCTTCAGAATAATGCCTATGTTGAAATAAAATCACCTTAAGTAATAGGTTAAGGTGAGGAGTCTTTCTGATATCAAAATTTCCATATAGAGCTAGTGACTTTGTATATTTTCACAGATGATTGTTGTTTGAGCATAAAGTTTTTCCATAAGGACTCAATTGTGAAACAAAAAGAAATGAAAATGAAAAAAATATTTGTGTGATTTTTTTATATATACATACAGAGAGTGAACATATATATTTCACTTCTTACAGTATATACACATATGTATACTGTGTTTCTAGCTCTGGGTTTGGTCTTCAGGCAAAACTTAGGGCTAATTTATTTTCATTTATTTGTACACTTTCTCTTTTCCACAAATGATTTGTGGAGGTTCACAAAATTGAGTACAATACACTGGCAAACACAGACTAAACCAAATAAATATAAACTGGAGGTCAGCGTTGCAGGCTTTGGGCAAGATGCCAGAATTAATCTTCTTAAGGCATGTTTGGACAATTTTGAGCAACCATTAAACAAGATGTCAAGGCTGAATCTATTGTGACGTAATCATAGGTTAAGCCTAACGTATTTTCGTGTTGTTAGTTACACGTTATTAAAGCATGGCCACAAAGACTCTAGTGGAATTTCTTGGCTAACTCAATAGATGGTAGGGTCTTGGTAGTGGTGGTAGTTTTGGTTTATTTTTAATTAATGGTATTCTTATGCTACATAGATCTTGTGCATAGTAAAAAGAAACAATGACCGCTCAGATGGTGAGCAGTGAGACAGGTTGGCAGTTTATATCTAAGATTGGCCATAAGGTGAAAGGTCATTCACCACAGGGTGAAAGGTAATTAGTAATGAGGAGTGATTTCTAGTCCCTGGAATGGAAATACTGAGATATTGTTCCTGAATATTTTGGAAAGTTGCTTGTTATTAGGTAATAAAGTGACTCAACTCTGCCTAACTTTTGTGACACAACAGCTAGATAAAATTTGACTAGCTTCAAGGAGGCTTTAAGCTCTTGCTATATATTATTTCGTTCTGTTTTTTAAATTGATGTATAATAATTTTAATAGTTATGACGTGGATAAGAATGCTTCAATATGTAGAATGTATGGTGAACAGATCAGATCAGGATAGCATATCCATTGTCTCAAACATTGGTCATTTCTTTGCGTTGCTATACTTTTGAAGTCAGTACATCACTATCTCTCTCATGTGCAATCACCATTCACTCAAATGTCCAACCTCAGGAACACATTCAACTTTGACAGCTCGTTCTTCCACTCACACAACTTCAGCAACTACTCCTAGCAATTCTACCTCAGAAGTGTCTTCCTATTCATTAGAAGACAAATCTATCATCCAGTCTCATTGAATTACAGCTTACTAATCACAGTTCTACAAAACAGGTAGGAACGCAAGCAGCTGCTATTTATACATGACCCCTGCCTTTTGTTTGTCTTATTTTTTAAATTTTATTATTATTATACTTTAAGTTTTAGGGTACATGTGCACAATGTGCAGGTTTGTTAAATATGTATACATGTGCTATGTTGGTGTGCTGCACCCATTAACTGGTCATTTAGCATTAGGTATATCTCCTAATGCTATCCCTCCCCACTCCCCCAACCCCACAACAGTCCCCCGTATGTGATGTTCCCCTTCCTGTGTCCGTGTGTTCTCCTTGTTCAATTCCCACCTATGAGTGAGAACATGCGGTGTTTGGTTTTTTGTCCTTGGGATAGTTTGCTGAGAATGATGGTTTCCAGCTTCATCCATGTCCCTACAAAGGACATGAACTCATCATTTTTTATGGCTGCATAGTATTCCATGGTGTATATGTGCCACATTTTCTTAATCCAGCCTATCATTGTTGGACATTTGGGTTGGTTCCAAGTCTTTGCTACTGTGAATAGTGCTGCAATAAACATATGTGTGCATGTGTCTTTATAGCGGCATGATTTTTAATCCTTTGGGTATATACCCAGTAATGGGATGGCTGGGTCAAATGGTATTTCTAGTTCTAGATCCCTGAGGAATCGCCACACTGACTTCTACAATGGTTGAACTAGTTGACAGTCCCACCAACAGTGGAAAAGTGTTCCTATTTCTCCACATCCTCTCCAGCACCTGTTGTTTCCTGACTTTTTAACGATCGCCATTCTAACTGGTGTGAGATGGTATCTCATTGTGGTTTTGATTTGCATTTCTCTGATGGCCAGTGATGATGAGCATTTTTTCATGTGTCTTTTGGCTGCATAAATGTCTTCTTTTGAGAAGTGTCTGTTCATATCCTTCTCCCACTTTTTGATGGGGTTGTTTATTTTTTTCCTTGTAAATTTGTTTGAGTTCATTGTAGCTTCTGCATATTAGCCCTTTGTCAGATGAGTAGGTTGCGAAATTTTTCTCCCATTCTGTATGTTGCCCGTTCACTCTGATGGTAGTTTCTTTTGCTGTACAGAAGCTCTTTAGTTTAATTAGATCCCATTTGTCAATTTTGGCTTCTGTTGCCATTGCTTTTGGTGTTTTAGACATGAAGTCCTTGCCCATGCCTATGTCCTGAATGGTAATGCCTAGGTTTTCTTCTAGGGCTTTTATGGTTTTAGGTCTAACGTTTAAGTCCTTAATCCATCTTGAATTAATTTTTGTATAAGGTTTAAGGAAAGGATCCAGTTTCAGCTTTCTACATATGGCTAGCCAGTTTTCCCAGCACCATTTATTAAATAGGGAATCCTTTCCCTATTGCTTGTTTTTGTCAGGTTTGTCAAAGATCAAGTAGTTGTAGATAAGCAGCATTATTTCTGAGGGCTCTGTTCTGTTCCATTGGTCTATATCTCTGTTTTTGTACCAGTACCATGTTGTTTTGGTTACTGTAGCCTTGCAGTATAGTTTGAAGTCAGGTAGTGTGATGCCTCCATCTTTGTTCTTTTGGCTCAGAATTGACTTGGCAATGCAGGCTGTTTTTTGGTTCCATATGAACTTTAAAGTAGTTTTCTCCAATTCTGTGAAGAAAGTCATTGGTAGCTTGATGGGGATGGCATTGAATCTATAAATTACCCTGGGCAGTATGGCCACTTTCACGATATTGATTCTTCCTACCCATGAGCATGGAATGTTCTTCCATTTGTTTGTATCCTCTTTTATTTCATTTAGCAGTTGTTTGTAGTTCTCCTTGAAGAGGTCCTTCACATCCCTTGTAAGTTGGATTCCTAGGTATTTTATTCTCTTTGAAGCAATTGTGAATGGGAGTTCACTCATGATTTGGCTCTCTGTTTGTCTGTTATTGGTGTATAAGAATGCTTGTGATTTTTGTACATTGATTTTGTATCCTGAGACTTTGCTGAAGTTGCTTATCAGCTTAAGGAGATTTTGGGCTGAGATGATGGGGTTTTCTAGATATACAATCATGTCATCTGCAAACAGGGACAATTTGACTTCCTTTTTTCCTAACTGAGTGCCCTTTATTTCTTTCTCCTGCCTGATTGCCCTGGCCAGAACTTCCAACACTATGTTGAATAGGAGTGGTGAGAGAGGGCATCCCTCTCTTGTGCCAGTTTTCAAAGGGAATGCTTCCAGTTTTTCTCCATTCAGTATGATATTGGCTGTGAGTTTGTCATAGATAGCTCTTATTATTTTGAGATACATCCCATCAATACCTAATTTATTGAGAGTTTTTAGCATGAAGGGTTGTTGAATTTTGTCAAAGGCCTTTTCTGCATCTATTGAGATAATCATGTGGTTTTTGTCTTTGGTTCGGTTTATATGCTGGATTACGTTTATTGATTTTCGTATGTTGAATCAGCCTTGCATCCCAGGGATGAAGCCCACTTGATCATGGTGGATAAGCTTTTTGATATGCTGCTGGATTCGGTTTGCCAGTATTTTATTGAGGATATTTGCATCAGTGTTCATCAAGGATATTGGTCTAAAATTCTCTTTTTTGGTTGTGTGTCTGCCAGGCTTTGGTATCAGAATGATGCTGGCCTCATAAAATGAGTTAGGGAGGATTCCCTCTTTTTCTATTGATTGGAATAGTTTCAGAAGGAATGGTACCAGCTCCTCCTTGTACCTCTGGTAGAATTCAGCTGGGAATCCATCTGGTCCTGGACTTTTTTTGGTTGGTAAGCTATTAATTATTGCCTCAATTTCAGAGCCTGTTATTGGTCTATTCAGAGATTCAACTTCTTCCTGGTTTAGTCTTGGGAGGGTGTATGTGTCAAGGAAATTTATCCATTTCTTCTAGATTTTCTAGTTTATTTGCCTAGAGGTGCTTGTAGTATTCTCTGATGGTAGTTTATATTTCTGCGGGATCGGTGGTGATATCCCTTTTGTCATTTTTTATTGCATCTATTTGATTCTTCTGTCTTTTCTTCTTTATTAGTCTTGCTAGTGGTCTATCAATTTTGTTGATCCTTTCAAAAAACCAGCTCCTGGATTCATTGATTTTTTGAAGGGTTTTTTGTGTCTATTTCCTTCAGTTCCACTCTGGTCTTAGTTATTTCTTGCCTTCTGCTAGCTTTTGAATGTGTTTGCTCTTGCTTCTCTAGTTCTTTTAATTGTGATGTTAGGGTGCCAATTTTAGATCTTTCCTGCTTTCTCTTGTGGGCATTTAGTGCTATAAATTTCCCTCTACACACTGCTTTGAATGTGTCCCAGAGATTCTGGTATGTTGTGTCTTTGTTCTCGTTGGTTTCAAAGAACATCTTTATTTCTGCCTTCATTTTGTTATGTACCCAGTAGTCATTCAGGAGCAGGTTGTTCAGTTTCCAGGTAGTTGAGCGGTTTTGAGTGAGTTTCTTAATCCTGAGTTCTAGTTTGATTGCATTGTGGTCTGAGAGATAGTTTGTTATAATTTCTGTTCTTTTACATTTGCTGAGGAGTGCTTTACTTCCAACTATGTGGTCAATTTTGGAATAGGTGTGGTGTGGTGCTGAAAATAGTGTATATTCTCTTGATTTGGGGTGGAGAGTTCTGTAGATGTCTATTAAGTCCACTTGGTGCAGAGCTGAGTTCAATTCCTGGATATCCTTGTTAACTTTCTGTCTCGTTGATCTGTCTAATGTTGACAGTGCGGTGTGAAAGTCTCCCATTATTATTGTGTGGGAGTCTAAGTCTCTTTGTAAGTTACTAAGGACTTGCTTTATGAATCTGGATGCTCCTGTATTGGGTGCATATATATTTAGGATAGTTGGCTCTTCTTGTTGAATTGATCCCTTTACCATTATGTAATGGCCTTCTTTGTCTCTTTTGATCTTTGTTGGTTTAAAGTCTGTTTTATCAGAGACTAGGATTGCAACCCCTGCCTTTTTTTGTTTACCATTTGCTTGGTAGATCTTCCTCCATCAGGCCCTTTATTTTGAGCCTATGTGTGTCTCTGCATGTGAGATGGGTTTCCTGAATACAGCACACTGATGGGTCTTGACTCTTTATCCAATTTGCCAGTCTGTGTCTTTTAATTGGAGCATTTAGCCCATTTACATTTAAGTTTAATATTGTTATGTGTGAATTTGATCCTGTCATTATGATGTTAGTTGGTTATTTTGCTTGTTAGTTGATGCAGTTTCTTCCTAGCCTTGGTGGTCTTTACAATTTGGCATGCTTTTGCAGTGGCTGGTACTGGTTGTTCCTTTCCATGTTTAGTGCTTCCTTCAAGAGCTCTTTTAGGGCAGGCCTGGTGGTGACAAAATCTCTCAGCATTTGCTTGTCTGTAAAGTATTTTATTTCTCCTTCACTTACAAAGTTTAGATTGGCTGGATATGAAATTCTGGGTTGAAAATTCTTTCCTTTAAGAATGTTGAATATTGGCCCCCACTCTTTTCTGGCTTGTAGAGTTTCTGCCGAGCTATCAGCTATTAGTCTGATAGGCTTCTCTTTGTGGGTAACCCGACCTTTCTCTCTGGCTGCCCTTAACATTTTTTCTTTCATTTCAACTTTGGTGAATCTGACAATTATGTGTCTTGGAGTTGCTCTTCTCAAGGAGTATCTGTGTGGCGTTCTCTGTATTTCCTGAATCGGAATGTTGGCCTGCCTTGCTAGATTGGGGAAGTTCTCCTGGATAATATCCTGCAGAGTGTTTTCCAACTTGGTTCCATTCTCCCTGTCACTTTCAGGTACACCAATCAGACGCAGATTTGGTCTTTTCACATAGTCCCATATTTCTTGGAGGCTTTGTTCATTTCTTTTTATTCTTTTTTCTCTAAACTTCTCGCTTCATGTCATTCCTTTCGTCTTCCATCACTGATACCCTTTCTTCCAGTTGATCGCATCAGCTACTGAGGCTTGTGCATTCGTCACATAGTTCTTGTGCCATGGTATTTGTCTAATTTTTTTTCAAGGTTTTTAACTTCTTTGTGATTGGTTCAAACTTCCTCCTTCAGCTCGGAGTAGTTTGATCTTCTGAAGCCTTCTCTCAACTCGTCAAAGTCATTCTCCGTCCAGCTTTGTTCCTTCCTGGTGAGGAGCTGTGTTCCTTTGGAGGAGGATAGGCGCTCTGATTTTTAGAGTTTCTGGTTTTTCTGCTCTGTTTTTTCCCCATCTTTGTGGTTTTATCTACCTTTGGTCTTTGATGATGGTGATGTACAGATGGGTTTTTGGTGTGGATATCCTTTCTGTTTGTTAGTTTTCCTTCTAACAATCAGGACCCTCAGCTGCAGGTCTGTTGGTGTTTGCTGGAGGTCCACTCCAGACCCTGTTTGCCTGGGTATCAGCAGTGGTGGCTGCAGAACAGTGAATATTGGTGAACCGCAAATGCTGCTGCCTGATCATTCCTCTGGAAGTTTTGTCTCAGAGGAGTACCCAGCCACGTGAGGTGTCAGTCCACCCCTACTGGGGGGTGCCTCCCAGTTAGACTACTCGGGGGTCAGGGATCCACTTGAGGCGGCAGTCTGCCCGTTCTCAGATCTCAAGTTGCCTGCTGGGAGAACCAGTACTCTCTTCAAAGCTGTCAGACAGGGACATTTAAGTCTGCAGAGGTTACTGCTGCCTTTTGTTTGTCTGTTCCCTGCCCCCAGAGATGGAGCCTACAGAGGCAGGCAGGCCTCCTTGAGCTGTGGTGGGCTCCACCAAGTTCGAGCTTCCTGGCTGCTTTGTTTACCTATTCAAGCCTCGGCAATGGTGGGCGCCCCTCCCACAGCCCAGCCTCGCTGCCACCTTGCAGTTTGATCTCAGGCTGCTGTGCTAGCAATGAGCGAGGCTCTGTGGGCGTAGGAACCTCTGAGCCATGTGCGGGATATAATCTCCTGGTGTGCCATTTGTTAAACCACTTGGAAAAGCGCAGTATTAGGGTGGGAGTGACCTGATTTTCCAGGTGCCGTCTGTCACCCCTTTCTTTGACTAGGAAAGGGAATTCCCTGACCCCTTGCACTTCCCAGGTGAGGTGATGCCTCACCCTGCTTTGGCTCACACACGGTGCGCTGCACCCACTGCCCTACACCCACTGTCCGGCACTCCCCAGTGAGATGAACCTGGTACCTCAGTTGGAAATGCAGAAATCACCCATCTTCCACATTGCTCATGCTGGAAGCTATAGACTGGAGCTGTTCCTATTTGGCCATCTTGTTTGTTTTTCAAAATCCAGGGCATAACTCTGCATCAGTAGATCTTCAAGCACTATCATTGAATTTTTTTGTTTTTTATAGACAGAGTCTCACTATGTTACACAAGGTGGTCTTGAACTCCCAGCCTCAAGCAGTCCTCTCTTGCCTCAGCTTCCCAAAGTGCTGGGATTACAGGTGTGAGCCACTGCACCTGGCCCAATCTTCAAGCACTATGAATAGTTAGGTTAGGTAAGCAACATATGAAGCAGTGAGTGTTTTCATTTGTTTCTGTTTTATTGTTTTATGAATACCTTGGGTAGGAGATTCAGGGCTTGTATGGGGATTTTTGCATATATTTATATGAAATCCATCTTCACTCCACCAAAGCATCTTCCAAGTTGCTTTCCAAAATAACAGTGTTTTTATTCATTTCTCCCATCCCACCTTCATCTGCCTTTAAAGCTCCTTGTGGATGGCAAATCAGATGCACTGTTATTCCCTAGAGTCTTGTGTTTTTGGCTCTTCAGAGCAGCCAACTATGTTCAGTGTGGCCCTCGGCAGTAATATCTGGAAAAACTCTCATGTGTAGAGATCTTTTAAAAGTGCTGGAAAGTGGAATGGAGGCTTCTCAATTCTCTGCTGGTGTCCTGGGTCTCTGACAATAAAGGGAAAAACTGAACCCACAGGTATTCTTCCACTGATGACTGGAAAATGCCACAGGTCTCTTTTCTTGCAACATTTTATTCCTCCAACCCATGCTGTTTTTTACCAAACTAGGAGAAAATGAAGCTCCTAGAAGTTATGTTCCATAAAATAATAAAATAGAACTGTGGTTTACATGTTTTACAGTTATAACCATACGGGTTGGGCATGGTGCCTCACACTTGTAAACTCGGCAGTTTGGGAAGCCTAGGAAGGAAGATCTCTTGAGGCCAGGATTTTGAGACCAGCCTGGAAAACATAGTGAGACCCCATCTCTAAATAATAATACATACATTAAACCATAGGAAGAGAGGTGGCAATTAGTGTAGACACAACAGTCCTAGTACCTGGTAAGGTCACAGGTAGACAGTAACCCAAGGCACCTGCATAAACCTTATGTGAATCAGGCATATTTAATCTAATCCACCAGTCTAGGGAGCATCCACAACATCTGAGTTAATGACCACCTTACCAAAGACAGCACATAATATTTTCAAGCACTTTAACATCTCAGATAATCAATCCATAAAAAGTAGATCCATATTAAGTATGTGAGCTCTTTTTTGCTCCTGCTCTATCTCCCTTTGATATGGTTTGGGTGTGTCCCCACCCAAATCTCATCTTGAATTGTAGTTCACATAAACCCCATGCGTCATGGGAGGGACCCTGTGGGACGTAATTGAATCATGGGGGTGGTTACTGCCATGCTGCTGTTCTGGTGATAGTGATTGAATTCTCACAAGGTCTGATGGTTTTACAAGGGGCTTTCCCCACTTTTGCTGGCACTTCTTCCTGCCACCATGTGAAGAAGGATGTGTTTGCTTCCCCTTCTGTGATGATTGTAAGTTTCCTGAGGCCTCCCCAGCCGTGCTCAACTGTGAGTCAATTAAGCCTCTTTCTTTTATAAATTACCCTCTTCGGTATGTCTTTATCAGCAGCATGAGAACGGACTAATATACCCTTTCATTCTTCTATTTTTGTTACATGTTTTATATATATATATATATATATATATATATATATATATATAACATATTTGCTATTTATGTATGTGCATATACACAAGCATAAGCAATTTATAGCAAATACACGGACTAAATAAAAATATATCACAATAAGGATGTAGACATCTAGAGTCATAGCTTTGATAATTATGATCACCTTGTTTATTTGAGAATCATGTACATTCATTTTGTAGGTTATAAAATAAAACTAATAGTTTTACCCAGAAGTTCCGATAAGAAGGCTGGCACTGCTCTTATAATCCTTGACATCCATGTTGAGCCCAGCAAATGCACAAAAGTAATAAATAATATTGGGAGCATGCATTCCTACTTTTAGAGACTGTTCTCATAATTAGACAAGTATTTCTCTCTTAAATTCTGTAACTTTCCTCTTTTGAGGACAACATAAAAGTTCACAACAGATGAAAACATGAAGTGCATAATGATCAAAGAATACCTATGTGAAAAGACTTTAATACTGAACTATTTTAAGACTTGGAGGTATTTACAATAAGTATTAATTATAATAAATTCCAAAATTAAATGTACAAAAGAGCTTGGTTTATCTTTTTCATATTTATTAGGAAAGATATTTTCCTTAAATTTTATAAGAATATCTTCCATTTTCTTTATGCAGAAATAGATTATATAATAAAAGCTCACTTAAGTTGGGAGCCTAAAGATTTCCTGATATTGGCTGCCTGTTCAAACAGATGAACTTACTATTGCTTAAAAATGACCCTGCAATAAGGGAATTTTTTCCAGTGCTCATGTATATTACTTTGGCTTGGATAATAGTCCAGAAAAGACAGTGTATAACATTGACAAGGAAGAAGTAGATATGAGATATGGAATTCTATAAATCCTAGTTATTGTTTTATTATTACATTTCAGTGGTTTCTAGGTTTTAAAATGGTTTATCTGTTTGGAACTTTCAACACTCATCTTTCTGATAATCATATTAATTATTATGATTATTATTCTATGATAATTAATATGATTAATTAATAATCAGATAATTTCTTCCCAGCAAATGAATCTGGGGCAGGAAGCGAGATTTAAGGGAAGTCTTTTTCTGACTCTGGAATGCTACCATTTGTCCTCATCACTGAAGACTCAACCTATTTCATCTCATTTGAAAAACTGCTGTAGTATTGTTTTGCACAGTTTTAAAGAGACATTAGTGATTTCTTTATTGATCAGATTAATTTGACAATTATAGAAATAGCCTTAGTGTTCAAACATCATAAAATGACATTAAAACTCCAAGACACATTAGAAATTATTGCATCTTAATATAATAACCATGCAAGAGAAAATTTTCAGAATAGAACATGAAGCCTGTCACTAGGCTGTCCCATTGGAGTGGGCTGATTTTTTTTAAAGGCATTTTTACAGCTCCCTGAAGAATGATGAAGCCTGGATCTGCCAAAATAGATTAAGCAGTTGGTTTGGGAGATAAGAGCTCTACGGGGAAAACATTTAGGTTCCAATTAAGTTTGGATGTCGGCAAAGTAAGTGGAAAGAAGGTCTATGATGCCAGCCCACTGGGTAGGATTTACAGCAGCTAAAGATTGCCTGATAAGTACTAAAATTGCAGGTCATCTCTAAGACTGCTTCGTCTTTGAGCTGAGCAGTCATTCAATTGCCCTTAGAGTGTCACACAATTATTTTCATGGACTCTTAGAGTCCTACCTCGTCAGCTCACTATCTTTCCAACCAATTTGGGAAAGTCCTCTAAATATCCCTGACCACAAGGCTAACCAGCCTTAGTTTACACTCTTCCAATGATGGAGAACTCACTACTTCACAAAGCTAATAATTTTTTATATCTGTTTTCTTTAAGTTCTACTTCATATTGAACTTGTTCTACATATGCCTTATACTGAAATGGTTATAACTTAGAGTTCTAATTAATGCCCTTCACACACAAACTAAGGGATTAGATCCTCCACACAGGAAGCCTCCAAACTTTTGAAAACATGAATATTTGCATTTTGGCTGCTCTGCTTACTAGCTGTGTAAACTCCGGTAATTTTTTAAATTTCCCTGTCCAAATGTCCTCATCTCTACAATAGAATTAGTAATATTTATTTTATAGGGACAGTTAGAAGATGAAATGCCAGACACACAGTAAGTGTTCAACTAAGTGTGTGCTTAATCTTTCAATAGACTTCTCCTTAAATCCGGTACTAGAGAAACAATGTTGAAAATTGCCTTTGATTTTAGGGAGTTTCCTTCATAATGAAAAAGACAAAAACTAAATATGCAGTCTCTATAAATTGTGCCACACTCTTAGAGGAGATATACAGTGTCGAGGAAGCACGAACAAGCCAGCTAATTTAGTTCAAGTGGGAATAAGGACAGTTTCTGGCAGAAGTGACTTTGAAGGTGAGATTTGATGGGTGATGAATTGACCGAGTGAAAATGATTAAGTTAAAATAGTTGCAAGAAGATAGAATAACATGTGAAAAAAACCTAAAAGGTAAAGGAGTGAACAAAGGTTTAGAAGGCTGTTCAGTATGGCTTTAGTGTAGTATGTCAGGCTATAAGTAGTAATAGTAATAATAATATTAATAATACTGTAGCAGAAAATTTGGAAGAAGGGCAGGTTATGGATGGCCTTCTATGTCATGTTAACTGCAGGAAGTGAGAAACTATTAAAGGATTTCAAGCAAAGCAGCAATATGATGAGATTTGTAGTAGTGGTATAATCAGAGGATGTTTTAGGTGCTGAAGTTCATGGTCCCCATAATGCCTAAGTAGGATGGGGTATATACTTTGGAGCACTTCTGGGCTATATGTCCTATTATCCTTAAAAATTGTCACCTAAGCCATATATTCCCTCTTTTTTTCAGAACAGACCCAATTTGCATCTATAGTCATAGCATAATTATTCATACGCATTCTCCTTTTTTCAAAATGGTCCTAGATTAAATGAAAATGACATGGTCACTGGGCCTGGTCCCCAGATACCCTGAATCTTAATTTATCTCCCATTATTTTAGAGTTCTTATTAGGGAGACCCTAAGTTCATATGCAGGCTCAACCTGCATATAAGAAGTTGTTTTTGTTGTTATTATTGTTTTTAATTTTCTGATTAAGGAAAATATAGGGGTATAATTACACTACCCATTTCTTATATGTCTTATAAGCTACTCAATGGTAAGGAAAATATTTCTATAGTCTAGTAACCCTTATTGTCCTTCTTTCAAAGAAGAAAACATCTCTTGTCCCATTCTGCCAAAGCCAGTGTGTGTGTTTGTGTGTGTGTGTGTGTGTGTTTAATGCTGAGTTTTTCACACATAATCATAGTGTTATGAAATTTGGCTCTGCCGAGTAATGGCTGAGTTAAGGTGTAGCCAAGGCAGAGGGTCGTTTCAGTAAATGGAAGAGCAGGTCACTGAAGAAGATCCTAAGTGTTGAATAGACAAGGGACTGTCTTGGGATGATGAAGAACTTCAGGATAGAGGAAAATCAGAAGTCTGGTATCAACATCTTTAGGAAATGAGGACTATTGATGAAAATCTGCTAATTACAGCAGTGAAAGGGATGAGAGACAGAAAACCTAGAGGATGAGCCACAAAATACCTCTATGACTCAAGTCAAACTCTTAGAGGCAAAAAATAATGATATGCTGTCCAGCAAGCCAAGTTTTTCACAACACCAAGAGAGAAACGTACTCTTTACTGAAGAGAGAAATGATGGACAGGAGTGTATCAGGGACAATTTCACAGAACAGGAGAGAAAACTTGGAAAGAGAGCAGTGACTTTGAGTTAGGAGAAGAGAGACACAGAACACAATGGGGATTATAATGGGAGATTGGACAGATGCTTTTGAGTTTCTTTCTTGGGTGCTGGGTCTGCAGAACAAAGACACTGGCACACTGGATTTAACTTTTCTTTTCTTTCTTTCTTTCTTTTTTTTTTTTTTGAGACAGAGTTTTGCTCTTTTTGCCCAGGCTGGAACGCAATGGTGCGATCTTGGCTCGCCGCAACCTCTGCCTCCCGGGTTCAAGCGATTCTCCTGCCTCCACCTTCTGAGTAGCTGGGATTACAGGCATGTGCCACCACACCCGGCTACTTTTGTATTTTCAGTAGAGACGGGGTTTCTCCATGTTGGTCAGGCTGGTATTGAACTCCTGACCTCATGTGATCTGCCCGCCTTGGCCTCCCAAAGTGCTGGGGTTGCAGGCATGAGCCACCGCTCCTGGCCCAACTTTTCTTAAAGTTATAAACTACTCAATGTCGTTAAGCCCATGGGGAGACTGGGGCTGTGGAATTAGCCCTGAAGTCTTACAGGATACAGATAGGCTTCCTCGGGTATGTCTAACCTCTGCAGAAGTTCAGGTTTCTGGTTATGGAGAAAAATCTCCATTGGAAGGAATCAGCTATGTTCTGCCTTTTGCTGGAGACTCTCAGGAAAGTTGTCCAGGGTTTAGGGATATGAGCAAATGGATTCATAGAAAGTATGTAAGGTTCAAAGTGGATGTGAGAGACAAATTTGGGGGCAGCTTCAGATCATGGTCTCTGAAGCCAAACCTGAGTTTGGTTTCTAGCTACATGATTAACCAACAATTTCCTCTTCTGCCAATTAACCACTGAGAAATGTCTAATTGCCCCATGGAGTCATCGGACCCTGACTTCCAAATGTTTGGAAGTCTGCTTAATAAAAGCAGAAATTCACCAGGTAAATGAATGTTTCCAGGGACCTAAGAAAGAAGGGGAGTTTTCTGACAAAATGGAGGATGCACTTTTGATATCTATAGTCTGTATTATGCCAGATTTCCAGAGCCAGTGGTTTCATCTCCAGGAAATTCCTAGACTTATTTGCAGAGGAAGAATGAGAACCCTGGAAAGGTCAACACAGATGCTTCCCTTTCTGCAGAGAAGACTTCTAAACTTCAAATATACAGCTCTTACGGTGCATACATGCCTTGTCACCCAACCAGCATCTCATTGAGGAGTGGGTACTTTGGATAGTTCTTTTTCATTTACCCTATATGAAGAAAACTAAATATAAGGATTATTTCCAAGTCACTCTTGATCATAGTTAGAAACTGTAGAAACATCAAAGGTTCTTGGAGTTGAAAATACAGTATGATTGTTTTCTCACCCTAACTTAGCTACACAAATACACCCTAACTTATTTAATAAAATGAAAAATAAAAACAAAAACACAGTAGTCTCATGGAACTATATAGTGTGCTTTGTAATTTAACTCTGAGGTTGATTAATGTCATGCTCACAGATTGCATAAATTCACCCATGAATCTATACAGTAGGTAGCCTTCATACCTATGCATATATATGGAGGAGTCAGCCACAAATGAGCAAAAGAGACCTTATAGGTTAATGAATGTCTCTAAGATATGCCCCCATCCCCACCCCCTATTTCCACCATATCTTAGATTTTGAGCTTCTTGAGGGTAGGGACTATGTCATAATAACCTATTATTCTAAGCAACTAGAATGGTGTATACCACTTTAAGATGTATTCAGTTAATTCAGGATTGATGGGTTACATCAGTCATTTAGTTATGTATTAATTTTAAAAGCACAGGGCATCTTTCAAAAAATAGAAAAATGTGTGAAACACTAAAACCACCAATTCAAATATTTGTGCACATTTTCATCGTTAATATAAACTCTCCTCTTAATCATTTTCTGGAGATAACTATTGAAATATGACCAAGTGATATAGTTTGCACGTGTGTCCCTGCCCGAATCTCATATTGAAATGTAATTCCCAATGTTGGTAATGGGGCATGGTAGGGAGTAATTGGACTGTGGGTGTGGATCTCTCAAATACGGTTTAGCAGCATCCGCCTTGCTACCATCCTCTTGATAGTGAGTGACTTCTCGTGAGAGATCTGGTCGTTTAAGTGTGTAGCACCAGCCGGGCGCAGTGGCTCACGCCTGTAATCCCAACACTTTGGGAGGCCGAGGTGGGCGGATCACGAGGTCAGGAGATGGAGACCATCCTGGCTAACCCGGTGAAACCCCGTCTCTACTAAAAATGCAAAAAAATTAGCCAGGTGTGGTGGCGGGCACCTGTAGTCCCAGCTACTAGGGAGGCTGAGGCAGGAGAATGGCCAGAACCCAGGAGGCAGAGCTTGCAGTGAGCCGAGATCACGCCACTGCACTCCAGCCTGGGAGACAGAGCCAGACTCCATCTCAAAAAAAAAAAAAAAAAAAAAAAAAAAAAAAGGGTGTAGCACCTTCCCCCTTGCTCTCTTGCTCCTGCTTTTGCTATGTGACATGACTGTTCCCCTTTTGCCTTCCGCCATGTTTGGAAGCTTCCTGAGGCTTCCCCAGAAGCAGATGCCTCCATGCTTCCTGTACAGCCTGCAGAACCAGGAGCCCATGAAACCCCTTTTCTTATAAATTACACAGTCTCAGGTATTTCTTTACAGGAATGCAAGAATGAACTAATATACCGAGTTTTGAATGGGATGGGATAAACACACAGTGGAGTTTTCCCATTGGGCTACCTAGAAACCACCTTGGAAGCTATGTAGACTTTAAAACATTCTTTAGCAAAATCCTTTTCCATCTTTAACTTTAGCTTCCTTCTGTTGGTCTCTGCTTCAGAATATTCTTCTCCTGATATGTCAGCTCATACTTTCCAAGTTGGACCTCATTTGTTAGGTCTTCCACATTTTTCAATTCCCTGTGGGCCTTAAAAAGGTATTAATTTTGCCTTAGTCATGACTGGTGTTTGTAACACTCACCCTCACGTATCATCTGCAAATGTTATTAATATTTGTTTTCTACTCAGTCTCAGATGGTTTGAGAAGACGTCACATTCAAAGAGCCCTCAATCAATCAATCAATCTGTAGAGTTTCTCTGGACTTATCTTCCGCACTTGAAATGATGTCATATCATTTCTCATTTTTCTTTGTCCTGAATGCCTTGTCAACTCTACACTCGTAAAAGAATGCTCATATCTAAACAAATGTGAACTCTAAATACCTCAGTAATTTCAAAGCATCAGGTCCTTTTTGTGTTATAATAAAATGATGTCACCACAATATCCCTCCTGTGTCTCGGCCTCGACACCATTAGATTCTTATCTATCTATTGAGAAACCCAAATTCCCCGTACCTCATTTCCCTGCCTGGACACAGGTTGCTGACTGTCATAAATTCCTTAAATTTTTTTTTTAAATTGCTGAATGATACAGGTGGTGAAAGATTTTTCTTTCTTTCTTTCTTTTTTTTTTTTTTAATCAAAGATTAAAGTTGAACTAACTGTCCAATGAGCTTATGGATTACTGCTCTCCTACTTTCTGAATACCAGAAATACAATTGCTTCAGTTTTTCTATAGTCCTTCAACATCTCATCTTCCCATTTCTAGAAGACTTTTCAAAAATAATTGCCAGTGTTCCAGTAACTTCATTAGCTAATCCCTTAACACCCTAGTGAGTATGTCATCCAGAGATACAGGAATGATACAACTCAGTAATTTGAGAGGAAATTGGGGTCAGGTTCTTTGCAGCATTTTAGATTTTATTTTTTGCTTTCTTTACCATTTTCATCAAGATCTAGTATTTTTCCACTTTCAACTCTTTCAGGCACAGATTTTTTGTCTTTAATTTTTATCTCAAAATTATTTATTTTCTCACACTTTCAACACTTTTGGACTTATACCTAACACTCTTCCTTCTCCCACTAATTAAGCAAACAGTTTCACCTTTTCAGCCACTATCAATAAAGAAGATATTTTGATGTGTCAAGTTATTCTGAAACACTTCTGCCTTTTCTTGTCAATAGCATAGCTACAATTTTCTCTGGATGAGAAATGAAATGAAATATTTATTTTCAATATAAAATCATATACATATCATGTGGTTGCTCTGCAGTAACCTTTTGAATATTACTCTCTTAAAGTTCTAGTTTCTTGCTGGCATACTTTTCAAACTTTATATACACAATTATTTTTATAATATTTGAATAATTTAAAAAATAAACATTATTTAAAAAGCAGGACAAACATCTCTTTCCTGAATATTTGAACATGTTTTTAAAATCCCACTATTTTAATGTATACCTATTAAATTATAACTGGTAAGCAACTATAAGCAAAGTCACCTGAATGTACATTCTTCAAAGAAATTGTGAATCTACCACATTCTAGAATATACTGTAACTGCTCCAAGACTTCATATGGAAATTCTAAAGTGAAAGCATTTGTTTTATAACTTTGCGTTGAAGCTCTATGTGGTCCAATTCTGTTTAAGATCTAGAAAAAGAACTACTTGTTCTTGAGAATTATTTGTGATGATTTTAACTAATTCCTCTCATTTCATATAAAAGTAACCCAAACAGAATTGCTGGAACAACTACAGCAATAACTAGTGTTTATTTTTATTTTATTATTATTATTTTTTGAGACAGAGTCTCACCTTGTCACCAGGCTGGAGTGCAGTAGCGCGATCTTGGCTCATTGTAACCTCTGCTTCCCAGGTTCAAGTGATTCCCCTGCCTCAGCCTCACGCGTACCTGGGACTACAAGTGCGTGCTGCCACGCCCAGCTAATTTTTGTATTTTTAGTAAAGACAGGAGTTTCACCATGTTGGCCAGGAGGGTCTCAGTCTCTTGACCTCATGATCTGCCCACCTTATCAGCCTCCCAAAATGCTGGGCTTACAGGTGTGAGCCACCGCACCTGGCCTAGTGCTTATTTTAAATTTTTTTTTGTATTTCAATAGGTTTTGGGGGAGTCGGTGGTGTTTGGTTACATGAATAGTTCTTTAGTGATGATTTCTGAGATTTCGGTGCACCCATCACCTGAGCAGTGTACACTGTACCCAATGTGTAGTCTTTTATCTCTCACCTCCCTCCTGCCCTTTTCCCCGAGTCCCCAAAGTCCATCGTATCATTCTTATGCCTTTGCATCCTCATAGTTTAGCTCCCATTTATGAATGAAAGCATACAATGTTTGACTTTCCATTCCTGAGTTAGTTTCCTTAGAATAATGGTCTGCATTCCAATCAGTTTGTTGCAAATACCATTATTTTGTTCCTTTTTATGGTTGAGTAGTATTCCAGGGTATGCGGGTGTGTCTATCTATGTATCTATCTATGTATCTATGTATCTATCTATGTATCTATCTATTTATATCTATCTATCTAAATCTATCTATCTAGCTATATATATATATATATATATATATATATATATATATATATCACCTTTTCTTTATTTACTGGTTGATTGATGGGCATTTGAGCTGGTTCCATATTTTTGCAGTTGCGAATTGTGCTGCTATAAACATGCATGTGCAAGCATCTTTTTCATATAATGACTTCTTTTCCTCTGGGTAGATACCCAGGAGTGGGATTGCTGGATCAAATGGTAGTTCTACTTTTAGTTCTTTAAGGAATCTCCACACTGTTTTCTGCAGTGGTTGCACTAGTTTACATTCCTACCAGCAGCATAAAAGTGAATAACTAGTGTTTAAAACTTGAAAAATATAAAGTGTGGATTCATAAAAACTTTATCCAATGGCTTTTATTTAGTATAACATTAAAAACCTGTCATCTCACTTAAAGATGTATTATCAGACTAAAAGCATTCACTCTCTAAAAGAAATATACATAAAATTCTAAATAAGAAGAATTTATGGATTTTCACAAACCTGCTAAAGAGCATTTAGAATGCTGAGTAATAGCACTAATTTATATGTGGATGGTCTTTTGTTGCAATCTTATAATCACTTTCTCATCTTCTTTTGGCTAGTTGGAGATATTGGAGCCCATTTTCTTATGGTTAATTATTCCCTTATTATTCACAATTATTCAAATCTGCATAGGTGACAATTACATCATATGATATCCATAACAAATTCAATCTCTTTATGGGTTGAAGTTTAATTTTATAATGAGTGGCTTTTTTACAAGTAATATTTTAATTTTAATTTTAATAAAAGATTGTGATGATACAAAGATTTCAAAGAAATTAATTCTACAACGAATGGCAATAATTTTAGCTGATAGAACATGCTTTAAAGAAATCACTTTATTTCTTTAGAGCAGTTTTAAGTTCACAGCAAAATTGAACAGAATGTACAGAGAATTTCCATATACCTCCTGCTCCCACACATGCACAACCTCCCTCACTATCAATATACCACGCTGAGTGGTACATTTGTTACAATCAATGAAACTATATTGACACATCATTATCATCTAAAGCTCAGAATTTACATTAGAGTTCACTCTTGATGTTGCATATTCTGTGTGTTTTGATAAATGTAGTATGACATAAATCTAACATTATAGTGTCATACAGAGTAGCTTTATTGCCATAAAAATTTTTGGTGTCCTGCTACAGCAGTCCCCAACCTTTTTGGCACCAAGGACTGGTTTTGTGGAAGACAATTTTTCCATGGGCTGAGAAGGGGGTGTAGTTTAAGGATGATTCAAGCCCATTTTATTTATTGTGTACTTTATTTCTATTATTATTACATTGTAATACAGAAGAAAATAATTCTACAACTTACCATAATGTAGAATCAGTGGGATCCCTGAGCTTGTTTTCCTGCAACTAGACAGCCCCATTTGAGGATGATGGGAGACAGTGACAAATCATCAGCCATTAGATTCTCATAAGGCATGTACAACCTCGATCCCTCGCATGTGTAGTTCACAATAGGGTTCACGCTCCTATGAGAATCTAATACCATAGCTGACCTGACAGTAGGCGGAGCTCAGGCAGTAATGTGAGCCATGGGGAGTGGCTGTAAATACAGATGACACTTCGTTCACTCACCCTGGGATCACTTCCTGCTGTGTGGCCCAATTCCTAATAGGCCACGGGCCAGTACTGGTCCATGGCTCAGGGCTTGGGGACCCCTGCTCTACCACCATTTTCACATTTCCAAAATGTTATATAATTAAATTATGTATATGTGGCCTTTTTATATTGACTTGTTTTACTTGGTTATATATATTTTTGTTTCCTTCATGTCTTTTTATGGCATGATAGCTCATTACTTTTCAGTGCTACATAATATTCCACTGTCTAGCTCCAGGCCAGTCCTTGGGGCCTCAGGCTCTAGAGGACCCAGGGTCCAGGTGTATTCTGGCAGACCCAGGGTCTAGTCCTACTTCAATAAACTCTAGTAATAAGCCAGCCCTGACAAACCAAGATCCCAGGACCACTCCTGCAGACACAGGCACCAAGCCAGCCTCCATGGACTCAGGACCCAGGCCTGCCTGCCGCCATGGATTCAGACTGCAAGTCTGCCATAGTGCCAGGCTATAGGCTCCAGACCCATCCCTGTGGACCCAATCAACAGGTCCACCCCAATGGTGCCAGGGAGCTGGAGGCTGCAGTGAGCCAAGATCACACTACTGAACTCTAGCCTGGGTGACAGAGTGAGACCTCATCTCAAAAATAACAGCAACTGGCCAGGCGCAGTGACTCATACCTGTAATCCCGGCACTTGGGAGGCTGAGGCAGGTGGATCACAAGGACAGGAGTTCGAGACCAGCCTGGCCAACATGGTGAAACCCTGTCTCTACTAAAAATACAAAAAATTAGCTGGGCAGGCGCCTGTAATCCCAGCAACTTGGGAGACTGAGGCAGGAGAATCGCTTGAACCTGGGTGGTGGAGGTAGCAGTGAGCTGAGACCACATCACTGCACTCCACCCTGGGCAACAGAGCTAGACTCCTTCTCAAAATAATAATAATAATACTAATAAATTTAAAAAACAGGAACCACAATAAAATACCATCATGTTTTATTAATACATGATAAATAGAAATCATTTTTATTTGTCAATTAAAACTAAATTTTAAAAAAGAAGCAAGGTGAACATGACGCAATGTAAAAAAAAAAAATGTAAGTAGGTCTTTAGCTATCTGCTTACAAGGTGTGCAGCGGGAGGAACTGTCCTACAGCCCCATGATGAGGTCTTAGTGTCTGGTGAGCCTCTTCCCCAGACTCTGAGCTTCATAAGCTCTCGGGTTCCCTCCCTGAGGTGATACAGGATGGCTGGAGTGGCCTGGAGTTGGGTACATCCCTTTGCCCAGGAGAGCCAGACTCTCATAAAACCCCAGTAGGTTAGCCTCTGTTAATGAGTTTCTCCTGAGAGCAGACCTCATTAAGAAGAGCAGAAGGCTCTGGTGTATTTCAAAATGGTTCCTTTTCCTTTCTCCCTGCCAGAAGCACTGGGGGATTTTCTCTAATATTCACTGTGAGGACCTGGTCGAGCTCCTGGAGGTAAATCTCACAAAATGTGGGAGCCTGCCTGTGACTCAGTCTCCCTAGAGTTTTTATCCTGACTCGTCCACACCGAGCCTCCAGCCATTCATCAGTCACAGCTCAGGTTTTCCCATCCTGGCTCTGTTCCTGCAGAGGCTTCTGCTGGTAGATTTCGGCTTGGGTAAGTTGTGATTCTCTGGGTCCTGTCTCTTTCTCCGATTTTGGGGGCCGCAGTGTACCCTGTGCCCTCACTTCTCTGACAGCTCTAAGAAGAGGTGACAATTTTTCAGTTTTTTAAAAATGTAATTTTTATTTTTAGTTCTGGGGTACATGCACAGGATGTGCAGGTTTGTTACATAGGTAAATGTATGCCATGGTGACTTGCTGCACCTATCAACCCATCACCTAGGTATTAAGCCCAGCATGCATTCACTATTTTTCCTAATACTCTCCCTCCCCACATGCCACCCCCTCCACGACAGGGCCAAAACCAGGAATACCATTTGACCCAGCAATCCCATTACTGGGTATAGACCCAAAGGAATCTAAATCATTCTATTACAAAGATACATGTACGTGTATGTTCATTGCAGCACTATTCACAACAGCAAAGACATGGAATCAACCCAAATGTCCATCAACAACAGACTGGATAAAGAAAATGTGGTACATGTACACCATGGAATACTATGCAACCGTGAAAACTATTGAGATTATGTCCTTTGCAGGAACATGGATGAAGCTGGAAGCTATTATCCTCAGCAAACTAACTCAGGAACAGAAAACCAAACACCGCATGTTTTCACTTATAAGCGGGAGCTGAACGATGAGAATTTTCAGTTTTTTCAGTTTTGTACTTACTAGGATGAAGGGGACACTTCTGAGCCTCTTACAGGCCAGACTGGAAAGTGGAAGTCAGAACAGGCTCTTGTAGGTGGATCTTTAAATATTTTGGAAACTCTGGACTTTCATTCCTGACATCCCATCAAGAAGACCCTGGCAACCACTTTATAGAATAGACTTAATATGTAGGATTACATAATATGTATAATTACATGTAATTCCT
Source organism: Homo sapiens (assembly GCF_000001405.40). Classification (NCBI taxonomy): domain Eukaryota; kingdom Metazoa; phylum Chordata; class Mammalia; order Primates; family Hominidae; genus Homo; species Homo sapiens. The sequence goes on from NC_000010.11 coordinate 10,090,424, forward strand.
ATTATATACGGTGTTAAGGTGACCATTTAATGTCAATATCAATTATTGTTTAATAATCAATTGGAACATAAAAATAAGGCTAATTTTAGTTAAATATTTTAAGGTGCACTGAGCACTTTTCCTATGCCAATCTCCAGGCTGAATTAATTAGATGATGGTTTCTTTAAAGGTTATAAAGCAGAAAATGCATGCACTATTATTATCTGATGAGGAAACTGAGATTTCTTTTTTTTTCTCCCCTTAGAAACCAGAAGACTTAAATACATTCCTGAGAGACTCTCATGAAGACGGAATTAAAATGCTCCCTAACTGCTGATACCTTATGGGAATTCCAGGGAAGTAGATGCAGGTACTATTACATTTTTTCTTACTAATATTTATAGAGCATTTACTGCATCCATTGTGCACTGATACAGCGCTCTGGGGAATTAGAGAAGTGTAAGCTTAGCATGATATTAACTCAGGGATTTATATTCTAGTAGGGGAGACTAGATATGAGCTTAAATGTCTGTAATCCAGGATAAAACGTGTCAAGGAGCACAGGAGAAATGAGAGGAGGGAGCAATGCCCCTGATTAGTGGAACTAGGAAGAAGGCTGACATGAGGCCAAGCTTTGAGACGGAGCCACTGGTAGGTGGAAATGACCTGGTAGGTGGAATTCACTGGCAGGTGAAGGCAATGACCATAAAGCAGAGGCATGAAGGCCCAGTTGTGCTTAGCAAGGAGGAAGTTACTCTTATTGGCTGCAGTGTTTGGTGATCGTGTAAGAGACAGTGGCGAGTCAGTAGATTGGAGAATATGAGGCAAGGCCTTGAAGGCCAGGCTAAGGCATTTAGACTTAGATTTTTGGAGCCCTATGGGGCACTGGAGGATTGCCAAAGTTTAGCAAAGATCCAAAAATCTTTAATGTTGGCAGAGACTTGACTGATATCTAGTCTACAATATCACATTTGATAATCTGATAATGAGAGATTCATTAACGTTGCCAAGATTGCCCATGGTAAGAGCAAAAAGACATTATACTGTAAGGATGTACAGTTCTAAATTTAAAATTTTCAGGAGCAACCCCCAATGTCTTCTTAATCACAAATGAGTAGGTGCTGGTAGAGGAACTGATCTCTCAGCAAATAGGTAGAACTAATCCCCCAGTACCTTCATCTCAACAAAGCTTCATGGTCTCATGTAGTTTTTGTAACAATTCTGGAAGATAGGTCTTACAGTTTCTATTTAGTAGCTCAGAACAATATCTTCTGTAGTAAAATGTGTGAATCTCGGTAGCAAAGATGATCTTGAATTAAATCTCTGGTCAATTTCAAAAAAAAAAAAAAAAAAAAAAGCATTATGAAGTTTTCAGACCTCACTACTTTGTTCAGGATTTCTCCTCCTTTGACCCTTTGTCCCTTAAGAAAACTAATTCTGGGCCGGGCACGGTGGCTCATAACTGTAATCCCAGCACTTTGGAAGGCCGAGATAACTGGATCACCTGAGGTCAGGAGTTTGAGACCAGCCTGGCCCACATGGTGAAACCTCGTCTCTATTAAAAATACAAAAAAAAAAAAAAAAAAAAAAAAAAAAACCAACAACATTAGCCGGGCATGGTGGTGGGTGCCTGTAATCCCAGCTACTCGGGAGGCTGAGGCAAGAGAATCGCTTGAACCCGGGAGGTGGAGGTTGCAGTGAGCCGAGGTTGTGCCATTGCAGTCCAGCCTGGGCAATGAAGCGAGGCTCCCTCTCAAAACAAAAGAAAAAAGAAAAAAAAGAAAAAGAAAAGAAAACTAATTCCTCGGCAGTGTGGGGGCATGAATTGGGGTTGCATGCTGTGCTGAGAGGCAGGCAGGGAAACAGCCTGCCATGAGCAGCAGCCACGCCTTTGGTAATGCCATTCCCTCTGCCTGGAATTTCTTTTCCCTGAATTCACTAAACACACTTATTCGTCAAATATGGCTTTCTTCACGTTTTTTAGATTTGACTTTCTCTTCCTAAACTTAAAAAAAAACAACAACAAACAACAACAACAACAAAAAAAAAAACCTGTGGTATTTCCCCAGTGAAGATACTAAAACAGAGATTCAAGGAAAATTACTTTCTGTATAGGGTATAAAAAAACCCCACTGGGGAAGCAGGGAAGTAACATAGGAACAAAGAGGCAGGCAGGAAAGACTAAGTCTCAGCAAGAGGCATCTAATCCCATGGAAACTTTAGGAAACAGTGTAAAAAGCAGCCCTCAGAATCCTCCTTTTTGAGGGAGGGTGTGTGGCCTGGAGTTTTATACAGCATTTCTCATGAGTCATTGACAGAGGGCTGCTCCCGTGGTCCTGGCTCCCTGGCACCTCTGGCCTCATGCGTGCTGACAGGAGGACTTGCAGTACTAGAGAAAATTCCTCAGATGCAAACATGCAGAGGCAGCAGTTAGACATCAGCCGGGGTACACTGGCTTGGCAGGGGCCGACGGATATGGGCGGGACACTGGCAACATCTGTGATCCTGTGCAATCAATACTGCTGGTTGTTATTAGTAAACAGCTAGCTATGAAAGGCCCAAGAGATTGTGGAATTGAGAGAGTGGAATCGGGCCACCTGTCCTCTGGCAGAAAACAGGTAATGAGTTCCATGTCCCTACTGAGGTGTCATGCTCCAGCTGAGAGCCCCAAGCAGCATATGGAACCATGAACTGCTAGCATTTTTGTATAGAAAAGATTCTCTGAACCCACTCATCAGCAGGATAAAAAGCATTGGGTTGTCTTCAGCCGTTGAGCTGGTAGGTTTTTGTCAACCCAGGCACTCTCTCTGACCTTGTATTGGGCGGGCTTGATTAATTGTGAACAAATGTTCACAGAGACGTCAAAGCAAAATGAAAGGGAAGAGAAAGCTAATGAGCCATAACAGATCCTGAAATAACCTGCAAATGAGTCTGATGCTCCTCTTTCCTTTAAATAATCATGGTTTGCAATGATCAGGAATTTCTGATTATCATTCAGATTCTTAAAAGTGTAGAGCTGCACCTTCTTTCTACTCACAGAAGCCTCCATGGTAGCCACCTTGGTTCAACTGGACAAATATTTTTTCAGTCACAGGTGACTATTAAACTGAGGAAGGAAATCCACTTGTCAGGGATGATTCTGAGTTTTGCTAAGCAGTGGTTTAGAATCTTAACTTTGACGTCAAATGGACACAGGTTTTAATTCCTTCTCCACCATTAACTGACTGACTTGCTGTGTAATATTGGGCAAATATCTCATGAACTCTCCAAATCACAATTTGCTTGGCCAGGCATGATGGCTCACGTCTGTAATCCCAGCACTTTGGGAGGCCAAGGCTGGCAGATCACCTGAGGTTAGGCGTTCGAGACCAGCCTGGCTAACATGGCGAAACCTCGTCTCTACTAAAAATACAAAAATTAGCTGGATGTGGTGGCGTGCACCTGTAATCCCAGCTACCCAGGAGGCTGAGGCAGGAGAATTGCTTGAACCTGAGAGGCAGAGGTTGCAGTGAGCTGAGATTGCACCACTGCACTCCAGCCTGGGCAAAGGAGTAAGACTCCATCTCAAAAAAAAAAAAATAATAAAATAAAATAAATCACAATTTCCTCATCTGTAAAATGGGTCCAAGGATGATGGTGCCCAACTCAGAGGCTCATGAGGATTAAATGAAATGAAATGAGTTAAAAATTATTGCCTGAAATATAGGAAGAACTCAATAGAGTGAATGCTAGTGTTTACCTTGTTGTTGAAGTTGACATGGTGGTAGCTGCAGTTGCATTAATGGTAGTGTTAATAGTGCCGTTTCCTCCCACTGCTGGGTGCAATGGAAGGACTATGGATTTCGGAGGGACACAATCCTCAATTCTAGTTCTATTGAATACAGCTGTGTGCATGTTTGGGTGTTTGTAAACGTTTTGTTTGGAAATACAAAACATCAAGAAGTATTTGGAACTGAATAATACAGAAAGGCTCCATAAATGTGAGTTTCCTTTCCCTTATCCTTCTTCATTACAGCTTATGTGTATCCAAAGAGGGGCTATTCTTTGATCATATTTATAAAAGCTTTATGAAAAGTTATTTTGTAAATATCTGTTGATAATTCTAGCGTGAGAGAAAAATGTTAAACTTCATTTATTCTGTAAACCAATGGGCCATGTCACTGAGCCAGTATTTTAAATCTAGTTGTGGTTCACTCACAAAATAATTTTTCTCTTAGAGAATGTGACGGAACAAATGTGTGAGTCTGCAAAGTAAGCCATGACCTAAAGTTTAAACGGTTAATAGATTAAACAATCTCATCGTCATAAGAAGCAAAAGACAAGTAAATACACGTACATTGTTATTGCAGCAGAGGGTAAACTCAAAGTTTCAGGTCTAAAAACCATTAACAGAACGTGAAACGTGTTTTTCCAATCTGTAACTCCTTGGGTTGGAGAACAGCTTTTGACCTTACATCATCACTTCACAAAACAAAACACTGAACTGCTGGTGAGGAGCAGCTGGCAGAGGACAGTTGTTTTGTTCAGAATCCCAGAGGTGGATCATGCTGGCTCTGGGAAGGGGAAGGCTTTAATGACTCATTAGATGATGGCAACTCGTATTCAGTTGTGTCTGGTATACTTTATAATTTTGAAGTGTCATTTATATGCTGTGATAAAAGTAGTATTAGGATGTTATTAGAACTAATACTGTCATGGTAGAGGTTGCTACCAGTGTATAATTACAACTTCATGTTTTCTGAGTGATACATGATAAGAATATATATACATGTATAAGAATAAATGATATCACTTCTTATATATTATGTTCTTAGATATTCATGAGAATAAACCGTATCTTATAATGTCATGGTAGAAGTTGCTACCATGTAACTTTTACAATGATAATGTAACAACAGTAACATATATTTTCAAATATATGGAATATTTCATTCCATAAAATATTTTATTTTCTAAAAAAATGAATTGCCCATGTTTCCTGCTTTTATATGTGTTTTATCCTAAGCATTTGTTTTTATGTTATTTACATGCATTGTTTTATATCTTAGGATGAGATGTAAGATATTTAACCATTTAAAAAGCAATGATGCACTTAAGTGAGGAACAGTCAGGCTGATATGGCTCTAATCTCAGCCATTGCATCTGCCAAACAATGTTGTGGCCTCTTTTCATGTATGTGTGTCCCATTTAGTCCTAACAATAAAATAGAAACTGTATATATATAATAATTTTTTTATATATATAGTCAATATATGAAAGCTACCTGACACTCTGAAAACCTAGAATTAAAATTGAGATTTTTCTCTATAACCAATGATCTTTCACCTGTACTAGGCAACTAAAGGGAATCATCACTTTTTCAAATGCTTTCGACAGATTTTTTTTTTTTTTCTTGGAGAATAAGTCTAGGTGACATTCACAATTAGGAGGATCATATAGCACATGCTTGAATATTGTTTGTCTCCAACTAGTTATATATGTTAACATATAAAAATACGCACACAGAGCCTACATGACTCACCTCTGTAAAATGCAAACATGGAATCAAGGCAGCACATTTTTTATTTACTAATGATAAATACTTCCGGGTTTTGGCAAATCTCAAGTGCAAGACGTGACAGATGATACAACTGTGTATCTCTGGTTTACACCAGGAAGACCTGATGTACTGTGGGTTTGTATCTCCATGTGCCCTTCAAATTAAGTGTGGCTATGTGATTAGTTTTGTTCAAAAAGTGTGAGTGGAAATGATGTGTGTCACTTTGGGCAGGAGCATTTCCTTGTACACATCTGTCAGTCTTCTTTTCTGCTGTGGCTATCATGAATGCAATTGATGGTATGGAGAAGTTACGTGGAGTCATCACATAGAAGACTACTGCCCTGGCAGGCCTCCTTGGCATGTAGCAAACAGCATGTATAATAATTAACTAACAGGATTTCAAGGTCTAGATTTGGGAATTTGTTCTTAGTGCAGGATAACCCAGCCTATACTCACTAATGAATATGGACATGAAACAGGCTGATCCATTTGTCCCAGAAGTAGCACTTTGAGTAGGCAGGCACAGCCTCAATGTTCAGGAATTGCAATCAGAAAAAAAAAGGTCAAGTTGCACAATTTTGAGATCACTTACATAGCTTTCCTCTTCAGGCAGTCCTCTGACTAGTAGAAATATGAAGGAATATAAACTCATGATTAGATTTTCTCATCTCTAAGTGGAAGGTCACACCTCATAATCCCATTATCAAAAGAGAAGTACAAATAATGAGTGTCTCAGAAAACTCTAAACAGATGAAAGCTATTTTTCAATTACAATCTATTTTTTTACATCATGATAGTTAAATAAAGCTTCCATCACATCCTTGAGATTTTAGAGTGAGTTTCTCCAAATATTCAAAGTCCCATTTCATTTTCAACTTACAAATAATATTTTCATAAGTAAAGAGAAGCTTCTGTATATTTGTTTGCCATATCAGATTAAAACAGTAGTTATTTTTGTTTTTACCCTATTGGGAAGTCTTGTTTGGAATATTCTGTCTGAAACTATAAACTGCATGATAAATTTAAGATTCTCATTTTTCTGCTCTCATTAGGATCTCAATGATATAGGCAGTTCCCTCTTGAACAGCTGAAATAAGGTACAATGAGTGGCCCTTCCTATTGCCAAGACATATTAAAACACCGTGGACCAAAAATATAAATAGCAATTGCAAATCAGAGCGGCATGTGAAAAGTCAGAAGAACAGACGCACCAATTTGCAGGTGCCATAGTCCAAGGTTAAGTGTACCATTAAGCTATTTCTTATGCAGGTAATTATATGAAGCCTGCTCTGGGGTTTATTACAGCAAAGACTAATTTATATCATTATTAAGGATCCCTTCTTTGACAATGCTGAAAGTGACAGATTTTATATGAAATGGAAAAATTTCTAATCCTTGTCTCTTTTTTTCTCTATGGCTAAGGTTTTCTACCATCTGGATAAATAGTTCAAAGTCTTCATTTCTAGTCACGAGCTTTTGAAACCTTAAGAATTCAAAATTACTCTTTTTTATAATTTTTAAAGGAGTAAATTTGGAAGAAAGTAACATTATGAAATGTCCCCTTTATATTATTTAATATTTTTCTCATAAAAATAAAGCGTTCTTAATTTAGAAATTAAAGGAAATTAATTAAAAGAAAGTTCAAAATATTAATAAAATGATAGCCAACACAAACTGGAAAATTAATCCTCATAAAATAACCTGCAATCACATCATTCAGGAAAACACAATTAACATTTCCCTTCAGTCTTATTTTCCATAAGATTGACCTTATTTTCTTCATAAATTTATACTTTACAACATTTAATTTGAAGACAAATTTATGGATTTAATTATTTGAAATCATAATTTTGAAGGATATGTAATATTTCATTTATACATACTATAATTATTTATACATTTGTTTTCATTTTCTTACTTAGTCTATATTGTTTCGTGTTTATGAATAACCCAATAATTAATATTCTTGTAAATTTTTCTTTGAAGATATTAGGAAAATCAGAGATAAGATTCTGAAAAGTGTAATCAATGAACTTGAAAAATCTAAGGGTCATGAAATATATTGCCAATTTGCTCTTGAGAAAATATTACAACAAATTACTTCTCCACCACTCATTTATTTTATGTATGTCTTATTCGTTGCATCCATAATGTTCTGAGGTTGAAGACACAATGGAAAATAAGATGAAACTAGTAATGCACCAAAATTTAGCTTCAGGTGATATTTTCCCAAATCCTGTTAATTGTCTTTGGCTTTTTCCTTGAAGTTTCAAATCTAAATGCATTCTGCAGCATCATTCCTGCCACTCCCAAAATTGAGTGAAGTCAATGATTATGAGATTGTATGGATTCCTACCTATATCTAATCACCTTAACCATGTTAGTAATATGAACAAGATATGACATTTGACTTTGCTATTAATATTAGAATTCAGTTTCAAATATAAATAGACCTCCACAATATAACTTTGAACATATTTTATAATTTATATATTGAATTAAATCAGAAATCAATTAAATGGAAAACAAAAATTGGATAAAACAGACAGTACAGCTGGTTCTTTGAAAACATAAAAACTGCTAAGCCTCCAGCCAAGCTAAGAATAAAAAAGGAAACAAATTACTAATATCAGAAATGAAAAAGGATCCTTACAACTGACACCATGAAAAATAAAAGGATAATAAAGGAATACAATAAAAAACTTTACGGCCACAAATTTAAAACTGTATAAAATAGACCAGTTCTTTCAAAGACACAAGCTTTCAAAACTCACTCAGAGAGAAGAGATACCAGCCTGGGCAACATGGCAAAACCCCATATTTACCAAAATAGATAGAAAAATTATCTGGGCATAGTGGCATGCACCTGTAGTCCCAACTACTGGGGAGGCTGAGGCGTGTGGATTGTGTACCATTAATCTATTAAAAATTGAATGAATAATTAATGATCTTTCAAAAAGACAGCATGAGGCTCAGATATCACTGGTGAATTCTATCAAATGTTTACAAATAAATGATATCAATAATCTCTTTTAGAAGATAGAAGCACAGGGAGCATTTTCTCACTCTCTCTGTGAGGCTAGCATTACCCTAATATTAAAGTCAGACAAAGACATTAAAAGAATGAAGAAATACAGACCAATATCCCTTATGAACATATATGCAAAAATCCTCAACTAAATAGTAGCAAATTAATCCAACATTGTGTAAAAATTATTATACCCACAACACCGTAGAATTTATTCCAGATACGGGAGGCTGGTTCAACACTGGAAATTCAATTAGGGTAACATACCACATCAACAGGCTGAAGCAGAAAAATAATGTCATAGCATTTTAGAAAATCTATATAACTGTTCATTATAATTACTCTCAGCAAAATAGAAATAGAGGGGAACTTCCTCAACTTGATGAATAACATGTTTTTAAGACCTACAGCTAATATCATACTTAATGGTGAGAAATTAGATACTCTTCTAAGATTGAGGAAAAGGCAAGGTTGTTTCCTTTCTTCACTCTTGTCAACATCATAATGGAAGTCCTAGCTAATGCAATAAGGTAAGAAAAGGATATAAAATATGTACAGATTGGGGAAGATGAAAAAAATAGTTTTTTTACACATGACCTCATTGTCTATGTAGAAAATAAAAAAAATAAATAAAATAGGGGTGAGATGAGAGTAGAGGAAATCTCTTGAAACTAATAAGTGTTTATGGCAAGGTTACAGGATACAAGATTAATATACAAAAGTCAATTGATTTCCTATATGTCCATAACGCTCAGTTGAAGTTTAAAATTAAAACCAAAATGTAATTTACATTGGCATGAGTAAAATAAAATATTTGGGCATAAGTCTAACAAAGTATGTACAAAACTACAAAACCCTGAAAGTAATCAAGCAAGATCTAAATAAATGGAGGGCTATTCTCTACTCACATATTGGAAGACTTAATAAAATAAAGATGTCAAGTAGATACTCTTCTAAGATTGAGGAAAAGGCAAGGTTGTTTCCTTTCTTCACTCCTGTCAACATCATAATGGAAGTCCTAGCTAATGCAATAAGATAAGAAAAGGATATAAAATATGTACAGATTAGGGAAGATGAAAAAAATAGTTTTTTTACACATGACCTCATTGTCTATGTAGAAAATAAAAAAAATAAATAAAATAGTGGTGAGATGAGAGTAGAGGAATCTCTTGAAACTAATAAGTGTTTATGGCAAGGTTACAGGATACAAGATTAATATACAAAAGTCAACTGATTTCCTATATGTCCATAATGCTCAGTTGAAGTTTAAAATTAAAACCAAAATGTAATTTACATTGGCATGAGTAAAATAAAATATTTGGGCATAAATCTAACAAAGTATGTACAAAACTACAAAACCCTGAAAGTAATCAAGCAAGATCTAAATAAATGGAGGGCTATTCTCTACTTACATATTGGAAGACTTAATAAAATAAAGATGTCAAGTAGATATTAATAAACTTATTGTACAGTCTATATGGAAAGGTGAAAGACCAAGAATAGCTAATTTATGGAGAACCAAGTTTGAGGACTCACATAACTGAGTTTAAGACTTACTATAAAGCTACAATGTGTGGCATGGCAAAAGAACAGTCACATAGACCAATGGAATAGAATACAGGGTCTAGAAATAGACCCAGACCAAAAAAAAAAAAAAAAAAAAAAAAAAGTCACCTGATCTTTGACAAAGGGGCAAAGGCAATCCAATTTAAATCCAATTTTTAAAAACAAAACAAGACAATCTTTTCAAGAAATGGTGCTGGAATGTCGTTCTGTTAAAAAAAATTAGGCACAGACCTTTTATCTTTCAGAAAAATTAAAATGAACTGTAGACCATGTTACAGACATTCTGATGAAACAGGATGGGCTCCTACCCATCTTCAGTGTTAACACTGAAGTTATGAACAAACATATTATTTCCATATGAGGCATTTGTGGAAGAACAAGGCAGACTGTCCTGCTAGACCAAAAATGGCTTGAGAAAAAAGAAGGGAGACCATCTTGGGGTTTTTATGCTGGTAGGTATGGGACCTGTGTGGTGGGTCTCCAACCTGGGCAGCGCGCTGGGTGGTTTGCACTTTCTGCTGGTACCAAAGGATTGCGCAGCTGGGCTTCCTGTCAGCTTGCCCACATGTGGATCAGAAAGGCACAAGTGATGTGTAAAGGCTGTCAGCACTCAAACATCAAAAACCGGAGTTGAGCTTTTTATTACAATTTACCCCAGACATTTAACTAGTGGCTGACTCCAATGTGCCTTTAAAAAATTGAATGGAATTTGAAGTCACGTATGTAAGCCTTCATGCTACTCTATGAGGCCTGTAGCCCGCGGCCATTAAGGGAGGGTCCTTTTGAATATTTTATTAAAGGGCTCAGCTTTGTATATTCTGAGAAGTTAAATGAATGCCTACATCACGATCAATAATGTCTGGAACTCTAAAGAGGAAGAGTGTCTTAATGAGGCCTTGTGTTTGGCTTTAGTATGTATAAAGACACATGCAACTTTTATATTTTGGATATCTTTGAGGCAAAAGATTCCCAAAGTTATTTTCTTCAAAGGGGGCAATTGTACACAAGATATTATTGTGGCTACCATTGGCCAGATCAGATAACCAGAGCACTGGCAGTGACCCAAGAGCATGTAAAAATGTGCAGATGGCACTAATTGTTGACCAGGGAATCCAGTACTAAGATAACCACCTGAAGCTAGCATAATTTTGCTGATCCTTGGGTCCCATCCTTTGTTAGGGACATCTTGGTTAAGGGATGAAAAGCAGTAGCTCTTCACGCACTCCATCGCATGTAGTGGTGGGGTTACCATCTGTAAATTATGTGAGTGCCCACTGTTGTCCACTCAGTTGATTACAAGGGGCTGCCGGGTAGCTAAGGTGTTTGGGAGAGGGGTCACCTCCTCCAGCACCATGACATCTGTCAATAGACTGAGGGCAAGGGAGACCACTCCCTCATGCATAGAAATTTGCCAAAGGGCCCAGGACTGGCTTTATTCTATAGCAAGGATTCTTTGGTAGCATCTGTGTTGAGCTTCCATAACCCAAATTATAATGGCAAGCTGAGAACAGAGGGTCAAAGCTCAGAGTATGTGAAAGCCTTGACTTCCCAGGGAGCACAGTACATGACCAGCGATGGCTGCTTTATTGGTATATAGCACGGGGTAAAGGAGGCTAGTTTCTTGGCGTAGGATCCCATGGATACTTGTTGGGCTTGATGGGTGGTCCAGAAACTGCAGGAGGTATGAAAGGAGGTTGATGAAGTTTCTATATTGAAGGACTCTCTGGAGACACAATTGTATTGCAATTTGTACAGATTCTATAGTGCTTTGTTCGGGGGAGCCCCCATCAAGGTAGACCAGTCTCAAAGTAACAGCATAAATGCACATAAGTAAAATTTGTAAATGATGAACACAGTTTTTGCCTTCATGTCTCCAAAAGGCCTAAAAGATTAGGCTTGTTTTAACATTGTGGGTGCTTAAAAGTTCAATAGCTGTTTCTTGACAGTAGCAGGATGGAGCGGCTCTCAGTTTACCAAATAAGCTTCCAGCATCTAGCCAAGGTGGAAGGGCCTTGCACTGTGTGGGGGGTAATGTCCCATTCACATTTTGTGAGCTTCTTTGTAAGTATTTTTATTTCCCTAATGAGATTATCAAAGGCATCTCCTCAGAGTAGGATGCCATCAGTTTCACATCATTCCTGCACTCCTGGAGAAAATTGGGTACAGTTCAGATCTTGCCTGCAAAGGCTGTGTGTGATGGCAAGCAACACTAATCAGGTACCCATGGATAGCTGGAGAAAGGCGTACCATGCCTCTTTGGAGGGGAAGGTAAACTAGTTGGCAGGCTATTGAAGTAGGCACTGAGCAGGACACATTAACCAAATCTACAACAGCAAAATGCTTCCCCATAGCAAAATACTTATCAATAACATAGGCCATGGGAACCTTAATGGGTGAGACTATGGCATTAGGGTTCTTGTAGTGCTGTGAGGAATCATTCCTGTTTTCCATGTTTATAAACAGGCACAACTGGGCTGTTAAATAAAGAGTGGTCTAGCTGGTCTTGTATAATGCATTTCATTGTTGAAGGCCCTATTTTAATTTACATGGAATCAGTAACTCTTTTAGCTGAGAGAGGAGTGATCTTTGCGGTTTCATTTTGCCTAGTCAATTTGTAAGTGTCAAAGAATTAATTTAATTTTAATATATTGCTCAGAGTGTCCAAGCCTGCTATGAGATATTTTTGAGCAATGTTTGCCAAGACCATGGAAATTTAGACAAGGCAGTAGTTCCAGTAGTTAAGATGAGACAAATTTCCTTGCTTTCTATTTTATGTCCAGTAACTCCCCTAGTCTTATAGAGTGTACCTTGTTAAATTTAGCGGGATGACCAGGTATTACTGTTATTTGAGCCCCAGTATTGATAAAGGCCATGATGTTTTGCCATTGGTACCTTTCAGCAGATGTTAAGATTAATTCGCAACCTATGTCAGTAAGGTATAGAAGCCAATGAGCAACCATTTATATTTTAGTAAATTTTGGATTACAGTTGGCTCAAATTGTGGACCTCTGTTTCATTTTATTGTTGTTGGTGGTGTTTCCTTCCGATGTCTCCATGTTTCCAGATGCTCTCTCTTTCTGCCTCATGTGTGTGGTTTTTGGATATACTTTGGGGAGAGAGTTCTCTCTATCCTGTTTATATTTATAAATTTCCTTATTCAAAGAGCTTCAAATCAGTAGCATCAGGGTTAAGTATCTCCCTTAGGGCAATTGTTTCTTTAAAGGATCTAAGGACCCCAGTTTAGACCACGTTTGGATTAACCCCTATTCTGTACCATAAGACTGCTAGGAGTCTTCTTCCTCATAGCCATGTTAATAGAGGTTTGTTTTGTTTTGTTTTGTTTGCAACAGAGGCACAGACAGCAGCAGCAAAGGCATTTGTAGACCCATATAAAGAGCAATCTGCCTTTAGGAGTGTGGCTTTCAGTAACTCAATTCTTCAAATAATGACTGGTCTTCAAATAGTGACTGCTTTTCCTCCACAAAAGTGACTACCCAATGGTCCCATATGACACACAGCAGCATTCCATTGAGAACTCTATTAAATAGGATCCAACATCCGGTAGGGACACAGCACCAATAGTCCCAAGGTAAGACATTTTGCCTGAGCCTAGCATTAGTTGCAGCTTATGCTAAAATTGAGAAGTGTAATTAAATCTAAGATACCCAAACAGGTCTGGGCTGAGACACAGGCCCCAAAGTCACTCTAAGAAAGACCTCAATCCCATACACCTGTTCTGAAATGCCCGTTAACCAAACTTCTGACTTAATTCCATTAAATCTATAACAGAAACTTGGTAGAACTCAGAAAATACAACACAAAGCAGCACAGCTCAATGAGCAGGTTATCCAGCAGGCAGCAGAACTAGGTAGCTAGTCAGAGCAAGAGAAGAAAGACACCCAGGGTAGTGGTCAACTTCAGGACATCTCACTCAAAGAGACAATTATTCTAAAGTGAAGATGGACTTCACCTCAAATTTGACCTGGATGTCAAGACTGGTGACACCACACACACACCATTAGGGTATGAAAAGTTTTATTACTTACATTATGAGGCTTTCAGGGCAGAGCATAGCAGATTACCCTTGGGTTGAAATAGCTTGAGAAAGCAGGAAAAAGAGAAAAGCTTAGGGTGTTTATGGTGGAAGAGTCTGGTGCTGGCTTGAGGGTTCCTGCAAGCTGCATGCAGGCAAGGGGTTGTGTATTTGACTGTCTTGCCAGTGTCAAAGTAGGGATCACTGAGCTTTCTTATCAGCTTGCCAAGATATGTAACAAGAGGGGAAGAAAGAGGGGTAAGATTTAAAAGCTGTCAAAAGTCAAATATCAAATCACAGAATGAAACTCTTTATAACAGACATGAATATAAAATGTAAAACTATAAAAATTCTAGAAGAAGACAGCAGAAAATCTAGGTGACTTTGGGTTGGTGATGAATTTTAGATACAACAATAAAAGTATGGTCCATGAAAGAAAAAATTGGTGATGTACTTTATTAAAATTAAAAACTTCTACTCTGTGGAAGAGAAGTTAAAAGAATGAAAAGACACACTACACAGTGGGTAAAAATATTTGGAAAACACATATTTGATTAACGACTTGTATCCAAATGTATCAAGAACACAAATGTACTTAGAACCAAATGTACTTAGAACACAACATGGTACAGGCACTGTAGAAGAGAGTTGGGCAGTTTACAGCAAAGCTAAACATAGTCTTACCATGCGATCAAGCAATCATCATGCTGTCAGTATTTACCTAACTGATTTGAAGACTATGTTTACATAAAACCTGCACATGAATATTTATAGCAGCTTCATTCATAATCACCAAAAACTGGAAGCAACAAAATTGTTCTTCAGTAGGTTAATGGATAAGCAAACTGAAGTACATTCATACCATGGAATACTATCCAATAATATTAAAAACTGTTCTCTGAAGCCACAAAAAGACATGAAGAGACCTTACACACATAAGTCTAAGCAGAATGAGGCAGTCTGAAAAGGCTGCCTACTATATAATTTCAATTACAGTTTTTCCTCTGTATCTACATAGGGCTGGTTTCAGGATACTCTCCACCCCTCGGAGATATCAAAATCTACAGGTGTTCAAGCCCCTTATATAAAATGGCATAATATTTGCCTGTAACCTAAGCATATTCTCCTATCTATTTTAAATTATCTCTAGATTACTTATAATACCTAACACAATGGAAATGCTGTATAAGTAGTTGTATTGGTTTTTATTGGTATAATTTTGATACAAATAAATTGTTATTTGTATTGTTACTTTTTATTGATTTTTTAAAATATATCTTCAATACAAGATTGATTGATTCCAAAGATACAGAGCCTGGGGATACAGAACCCACAGATATGCAGGGCCAGTTGGATATGGCATTTTGGAAAATAAAAACCTATAGAGAAGTAATACATCAGTGATTGTCAGGAGGAGATGGGAGGTGTTCAACAGGTGAAGCACAGGGGATTTTTAACTGAATGAAAGTACTCTGTGTGACTCTGAAAGGTAAATGCATGACATTACACATTTGTTCAAACACAAAGAACTTCATAGCCTTAATATGTACACATCTTTAAAAACCACTTAGGGTATTAATGGCTACCTGGAAGGAATGCATATTGTCCTTAATGGCTACCAAGAAGGTATGCATCGTGTCACAAAATAAATATTTCACTGTATTACAAATGTGTAAAACGACCTCAGTAAAGGGGATGCAGATAAAAGTTGCTGTCCTGAGTAACTTTAGAAATGATTAGAGTCTGCAAAATTAAGGCAAAAAGAACTTGATATAAGCAATGTACTCTATTTGATAAAGTTATTTCTCATGGTGGCATAGGTTAATACTTCTGATACTGCTATATATGTATACCAGAATTAAACAATTGAGTAAATGAATGGCAGATAATAGAAGGCGGGTTTCTCACTTTTGGAGTGGAAATTTGCAGATAAGGACATAAAATGACCCATGTGGTAATGGATTAATATTGGAGACATAAATATTAACTCATGTTTACCTTAATATAGGTATAGATGGTTCATACAGAAATATTCATAAATATGTGTGTATACAGGTTAGCATATGCACATATATTTCCATGCTCTATCTCCTGAGAGAGTCTAGAAGCCATGATACCTAAGAAATAATAATAAGCATACCTAATGCCCATGTCTTGGTTTATACTACTATTCTCTAATAAGTGGAACCAGGGATCCTTGGAATTTGGTTGATTCTAGGCATGGCGGAAAGAAATATATAGGATGAGCCTGGAGCATCTTGTAGTGCCAGAAAGTAAGGGATTGCTCCAGGAGAAAAGAAAACTCACCTTGATGGGCTATGCCAAAAACAAAACAAAACACAGGAGCCAACTGAAAGAGCTTCCAGTTTGGCTGCAGCTAAAACAATTTGAGCAACAAGATAAATTATGTAGCATTGAATTATTACTGGAAGCATAAGATAAAATTTTACAAATCTATCTTTTTTTTTTTTTGCCAGTGTGTAACTGATTCTTTTTTTTTTTTTTTTTTATACTTTAAGTTTTAGGGTACATGTGCACATTGTGCAGGTTAGTTACATATGTATACATGTGCCATGCTGGTGCGCTGCACCCACTAACTCGTCATCTAGCATTAGGTATATCTCCCAATGCTATCCCTCCCCCCTCCCCCAACCCCACCACAGTCCCCAGAGTGTGATATTCCCCTTCCTGTGTCCATGTGATCTCATTGTTCAATTCCCACCTATGAGTGAGAATATGCGGTGTTTGGTTTTTTGTTCTTGCGATAGTTTACTGAGAATGATGATTTCCAATTTCATCCATGTCCCTACAAAGGACATGAACTCATCATTTTTTATGGCTGCATAGTATTCCATGGTGTATATGTGCCACATGGTACTGGTACCAAAACAGAGATATAGATCAATGGAACAGAACAGAGCCCTCAGAAATAATGTTGCATACCTACAACTATCTGGTCTTTGACAAACCTGAGAAAAACAAGCAATGGGGAAAGGATTCCCTATTTAATAAATGGTGCTGGGAAAACTGGCTAGCCATATGTAGAAAGCTGAAACTGGATCCCTTCCTTACACCTTATACAAAAATCAATTCAAGATGGATTAAAGATTTAAACGTTAGACCTAAAACCATAAAAACCCTAGAAGAAAACCTAGGCATTACCATTCAGGACATAGGCATGGGCAAGGACTTCATGTCTAAAACACCAAAAGCAATGGCAACAAAAGCCAAAATTGACAAATGGGATCTAATTAAACTAAAGAGCTTCTGCACAGCAAAAGAAACTACCATCAGAGTGAACAGGAAACCTACAACATGGGAGAAAATTTTCGCAACCTACTCATCTGACAAAGGGCTAATATCCAGAATCTACAATGAACTCAAACAAATTTACAAGAAAAAAACAAACAACCCCATCAAAAAGTGGGCGAAGGACATGAACAGACACTTCTCAAAAGAAGACATTTATGCAGCCAAAAACACATGAAAAAATGCTCATCATCACTGGCCATCAGAGAAATGCAAATCAAAACCACTATGAGATATCATCTCACACCAGTTAGAATGGCAATCATTAAAAAGTCAGGAAACAACAGGTGCTGGAGAGGATGTGGAGAAATAAGAACACTTTTCCACTGTTGGTGGGACTGTCAACTAGTTCAACCATTGTGGAAGTCAGTGTGGCGATTCCTCAGGGATCTAGAACTAGAAATACCATTTGACCCAGCCATCCCATTACTGGGTGTATACCCAAATGACTATAAATCATGCTGCTATAAAGACACATGCACACGTATGTTTATTGTGGCATTATTCACAATAGCAAAGACTTGGAACCAACCCAAATGTCCAACAATGATAGACTGGATTAAGAAAATGTGGCACATATACACCATGGAATACTACAAATCTATCTTATGTGCAGCCTGTGCATAGTCACTTTCTTCCAGAGAATACAGTAAAATTTTAAAAAGGGATAATAAAGGAACTGTATTTTGTAGAAAGAAGGCAAACATTAGCCCAACCAAGTGCTCAAAGTCAGTATCAATAATGACAAATGATTTTGATGGAATGTATCCTCGCTGTGATGTGATGAAAATGGCACTTTGCCTCTATAAATAAAAGATATTAAAGATATAACAAAATCCATAACCCCAGTCTACCCATGAAGATAACATCATACAAATTGCAACAGAAGAGTGTTCTACAAAATGATAGACCAATACTCCTTAAAACTGTCAAGTTCATTTAAAGCAGGGAAAGTCTGAAAATCAGGATTTAAATACAAATCAAGAATTTTTATGAATTCATATATTTAAATTTTCTTTTCTGATTCCAGGAACATTTAGTTTTTCTATTAATTATTTTTTCTTTTGTTCCTAAATGTAACTAATAATTTTCTACTTTTAGGTATTAGATATTATCTTGTTGACTTATAACTGGATGTTTTATATTTTGTAATCATTTGCAATAGAATGCTTTATTTAAAACAATTGCTGGTATATCCTTTATTCAATCATTCAGACAAAATGTATTGACCACATACTATATGCCAAGCAATATGTTAGGCATTCAGAATCAAAAGTAGAAAAGGCTATCATAGCCCCTTCTTTTAATGGAATTTTATTTTATTAGGGAAAGTAGAGAAACAGATAAATGGACAAATACACAAGATATGTGTGCTTTAGGAAATAAACAAAGAACATATTTGTGTTAAAGAGCAAAGGAATGTTGGTGGTGAAAACACCACTAAATGTGTGTGTTTTCAACCATTCATGAAAACCTCCGACTCCTATAGGTGCTCACTAAGTAATTGGGATGGAAAGAGGAGTTAATCTTTGATGGGCATGGAATATACATGCGTGCACGCGCGCGCACACACACACACACACACACCCGTGTATGTATATATGTGCTCACTGTTGAGAGACTACCAGGAACACACCTATGGTTGTGAATACATTGGGTTTCATTCTTGTTGCCACTAGGGAGACCACACAATATGAGAATCGTTGAAGCATTTCAGTGAAAAGCTGTGAGATAGGACTTCTTTAAGACTTTGGCCTTGGTTTTGGTGGTTTTGGTAAAGATACAAGGAAGCAGAGATTTTCTCTAAATTGGAGGATATCAGAAGTCATGAGACAATTCTATGTTTGGGTATGTTAATAAATCTTTTCTAGAAAAAGGCAGACTAGAGTGAGGTTGGAGCCATAACTAATAAATAAGCATCAATCATATTAGCCAAGAAGTAGGGGCTGTTAGGTGCTATATGGTGTACAGTGACCTTGCTTTTGCCTGTGATTAGACAAAATATGAAGTGGTCTTGATTTCACTCTATTTCATGGTCACACATTGGCCTCCTCCAATGTTGTTGTTTTGTGAGATTGTTGATGTTCAACAAGAGAACATCAAGTCCTAGCTGTGAGCAAAATATAAAATATTCTTGTAATATATCTATTTACATATACAAACATAGAATACACATATCTCGTGATATACATGTCTCATCTAAAAAAGCAAGCAAGCATAATCTATAAATAAAGAGAGACATTGGCAAAGAGACTTTCAGATACTGAAAATTCCCTCTTTTCACTACCAATATGCAAACCCCTGGGCTTATCTTGCCTTCAAAGTAACAGATACAATCTACTGATTTCATTTGTTCTCTGAAAAAGGAAAAAGTTAGTATATGGCCTTATTAGAAAATTATAAGGGGCCATGGTAAGAAATCTGAGTATCTTTCTGAAAGCAATTAAGAAAGGTTGAAATTTAATAAGTACATGAAAGTAAATTATTTTTAGCTTAGAAATATTACTCTGCAATCAGAAGAATGGGTTAAAATGGAGCAAAACCAGAAACAAATTCAAAGTAGCAAGTGAGTCCTGAGGCACTGCTAGTGCAGACATGATGCACTTAGCAGTGCTCCCTGGTCTAAGTTGTCTGTTTTTTTGTTTTTTGGTTTTTTGTTTGTTTGTTTGTTTTTGAGACAGAGTCTCAGTCTGTCGCCCAGGCTGGAGTGCAGTGGTGCGATCTCGGCTCACTGCAACCTCTGCCGCCCGGGTTCAAGCAATTGTTCTGCCTTAGCCTCCCGAGTAGCTGGGATTACAGGCATCTGCCACCGCACCTGGCTAATTTTATATTTTTAGTAGAGATAAGGTTTTACCATCTTGGCCAGGCTGGTCTCGAACTCCTGACCTCGTGATCCACGTGCCTTGACCTCCCAAAGTGCTGGGATTACAGGCGTGAGCCACCACGCCCGGCCCTGTTCTTTGTTTTTAGAGTTGCAGATCTTCTGATCCAGCACTTTAAAGAGAAAGAGATATTCCTTCATCTGCTAGTTTATTTCAAGATGTCGCATTTATATTCTAATAGTGAAGAGCTAGAGAGCTTTGATGTGAATACTTTGTCCCCTACTCGCCCCAGAGCTTTAGTAGGCAGATATAATAGGACATGGCAGGTGGTTAAAAATAGGAGTGAGAGAGAGGAAAGACTTAATATTGTTCCCTTTGTAACATGAATCTCCTATAAATATAACTGAATTCACATAGGCGATCATAATGGCAAAGGTTTAAAAGGCTGGTGGCAGCTATTATTTGATGACAATGCTGTCATTGTGTCTCATCCTCACTTTTTTTCCAGCCATGAGTAGTGCTTCCCTTACTTTATGACCAGTAGGTTTAAATTCCCCTGTAAAATTTAGAGGGCAACTACCTGTTCATTGTGACTCACAGATTAAATTAACCATTGTTCTACTTACACATGCGCCGGATGTGTGCAGTGATTTTCTCATTGAAACTGGGTCATCTTCCAGCACTGGTATTTTCTGTAGAGCAAATAGCTTATCATTCACAACTGAGCACAGCTCTGTCCTCATGCTCTTCCTCCAAACTGAATGTCTTGCCTTTTATTAGTGTTCTATGAGTCTAAATTGCCTATTGTTTATATTTAGTATTGCAGAAAAATGATTTAAGTAAAAATAAACAAATGTAGTCTTGAATAGCCCCTCTCAAAAATATCTTGTCTCATCAATTTCTGGAGGTGTTAAAACCACTACCACCACAACACCATTCAGTGCCTTTTCTTGAGCCTTCCATTTAAGGAGAGTGAATGAAAGCCTTATGGAATTAAAAAAAAAAAAAACTGTTTGAAAATAAAGTGCCCCCCCTCAACATTTTATTAAATGAACAGAGAGGAGAAAGAGTAGCATCACGATTAGAAATTATGTAAAATCTGGCCAGGCACGGTCGCTCATGTCTGTAATCCCAGCACTTTGGGAGGCCAAGGCGGGCTGATCACGAGGTCAGGAGTTCGAGACCAGCCTGACCAACATGGTGAAACCCCGTTTCTACTAAAAACAAATAAATAAATAAAATTAGCCAGGCATGGTGGCGCATGCCTGTAATCCCAGCTATTCAGGAGGCTGAGGCAGGAAAATTGCTTGAACCCAGGAGGCAGAGGTTGCAATGAGCTGAGGTCGTGCCATTGCACTCCAGCCTGAGCAACAGAGTGAGACTCTGTCTTAAAAAAAAAAAAAAGGAAAATCTAATACAAACTGCCATTAAGGGACAAATGAAGTTGCATGTGTGTCCTGGAAAAAATAAAATTGACCAAAGAAACAAAGTGCCATTTGTCATTGACCTATGCTGATTTGGTGCTTTGAAATTTTACTTCTTGTGAGTGATCATTTATTAAGGTAGTGGATAAAGAGGAAAAGCAGCTTCACAAATCTGAGAAAGGAGGGCTCATTTGTCATTTGCAAATGTTAATATTAACAATAAAAATAATAGCAATAGCATGTATGACATGCTAGGCTCTGTGAAAGACCTTTTGTAGGTGCTGTGTTGTAATTTGTAGGACAATAACAGGATTTTATGGATGATAAAACGGAAATTTTAAAAGGCTACGTAAAGTGTCCAATGTAGAAGTCACATGCCTGGTAAATGGTGTTCCTTACTGATTTATATAATTGTAGTCTTAGTCCTAATTTATGCCGGTTTGTTGGCATTCAGATAGATGTGGACTAGAATGATTAATTTAATATTTATTGAGCATGAAATGTATACTAAGTACTAGTCACTAAAAGAAAAGCATGATACACAGACTAAAGCAGTTTCAATAAAATCCTGGAAGTAATTGGGGTGACCACAATCAGATGAAATGGTTTATGAAAGGATATCAGAGATGTGTCAAATCTGGAAGAGGGTTAGAAGGAGTGGCCTTGGCTAACTTTCTGCCCAAGGTCTATATTCCTATTTATTTTCCATCAGTGACACAGCTGAGAGAAAGCTGAGCTCACACCACTGAAATGTTCCTTTAGGAGATAATGGCAATGCCCACATAAGCAATACTCCTGGTGAATAAGCTGTCCTAGTCTCAAGACACAGAGTGTTATGGTGATACTTCCCCCCGCCATCAATTTTGCAACAAATAGCAATGCTCCTTTATTGCTTTAATAAAACAAAAATTTACATGAATAAGGCATATGCATGTACAAGAAATATTACTGAGCGGAGCTCCTGTGTCACTTTTGGGATTAGGTTTCCCAGCTGCCCAGGCACTGATTCATTGTGTGAATGGGTTAGACAGTGCCCAGCCTCCTGACATCCTTTCTAGGAACACTACTGGTATTGAAAACCAGTTTTGTGAGATTCAAATATAGGTCTTTCCACATCACTGCTTTTCCCATTTTTGATCAGAGAAACCTCAGAAGGTAGCTCTCCTGATTCCCAGAGAAAAGCTCACCTCTTCTGATCTGGCACTTTAAAGAGAAAGAGATATTCCTTCATTTTCTAGTTTATTTCAAGATATAGCATTTATATTCTAATACTGAAGGGCTAGAGAGCTCTGATGTGAATACTTTTCCCTCTCTGACACAGTTACTTTTTATTGCTGTTCTCCATCATGTCTTTTCCTTTCTTTATGTAATAAAAACAAAGCACTACCTCCCCCCAAACCGCCAAAAATGAGATTTGAATGTCTGTATTCTCAAAATGTTTCTTTAACACTTATTTCTTTTTCTACTTTAATCAATTTAGAAGCTGCAAAAATTGAAAGCTTTGATTTTTTAGAGTGCCATCTTCAAAAGCCAATTTCTGACATTAAATGGAAATCGTATCCAGCATAATGGCTGGCTTAATACAACCTATTATGTTTATAGAAATCTCTACTTTTATTTCAGCAGTCTATTCGATTTCTGTGTGCATGAAATACACACAGCATTAGAAACACTTTTTAAATTCCAAGTTACTAATTCTTAGAGTAAAAATGATCATTCTGCTTTTGCTGTTTTATTCATGATGTCTTGTAAAAATATAATTTTGAATACATATTGGCTTTTTAGTATGTCCTTTATGCAAGGGCTAGATATGACTATGAGTGTCATAAAGGCAATATTTCAGAATGAATCATAAGAATGTTTATAAATGAGCACAGTAAATCAATTTCTTTCATTCGTTCTTTTGTTTTCATGATTTGCATTATTGTATTATTTGATTTTAGCTTTTTAAAAATAATTTCAACTTTCATTATAGATTAAAGAGTACATGTACAGGTTATGGGTATATTGAAGATGTTATGTTTTGGGGTCCAAATTATCCCATCTCCCAAGGTACTGAGCACAGGTATATGCATGAATATATAATAGGTGGTTTTTCAGGCCATGGCTCCCTCCCTCCCTCATCTAGTAATCTCCAGTGTCTATTGCTCTCACATTTATGCCTATGTGCATTCAATATTTAGCTCCCACTTACAAGTGAGAAAATGCAATAACTGATTTTCTGTGCCTTCATTAATTCACTTTGGTTAATGCCCTCCAGCTCCATCCATGTTGCTCCAAAAGATATGATTTCATTTTTTATGGCTGCGTAGTATTCTATGGTGTATATGTACCATATTCTCTTTATCCAGTCCACCGTTGAAGGGCACCTAGGTTGATTTCATGTCTTTGCTATTATGAATAGCATTGCAATGAACATAAAAGTGCATGTTTCTTTTTGGTAGAATGAATTATTTTCCTTTGGGTATATACCCAGGGTTGGGATTTCTGTGTCAAACGGTAGTCTTGTTTTAGGTTTCTTGAGGAATTGCAAACTGCTTTCCACAGTGTCTGAACTAGTTTGCATTCCCACCAACAGTGTATAAGTGTTCCATTTTCTCTGAATCCTTGCCAGTACATGTTGGTTTTTGACGTTTTAGTAATGGCCATTCTGGCTGGTATGACATTGTATCTCATCATGGTTTTGCTTTCCATTCCTCTGATGATTAGTGATGTTGAGCATTTTTTCTTGTTTATTGGCCACTTGTACATTTTTGTTTACAAAGTATCTGTCCATGTCCTTTGCCTATTTTTTAATGAGATTATTTGTTTTTTGCTTGTTGATTTGTTTGATTTCCTTGTAGATTCTAGATATTAACCCTTTGTCAGATGCATAGTTTGTGAATATTTCCCCGCATTCTATAGGCTGTTTGTTTATTCTGTTTGTAATTTCTTTTGCTGTGCAGAACCTCTTCAGTGTAATTAGGTCCCACTTGTCAATTTTTGTTTTTGTTGCAATTGCTTTTGAGGACTTGACCAAAAATTCTTTGCCAAAACCACTGTTGAGAAGGGCATTTTCTAAGTTTTCTTCTAGGATTTTCATAGTTTGAGGTTTTACATTTAAATCTTTAATTCATGTTGAGTTAATTTTTATATATGATGACAGGTCAGGTTCCAGTTTCATTCTTCTGAATATGGCTAGACAGCTATCACAGCACAATTTATTGAATATGGAGTCCTTTCTCCACTGCTTATTTTTGTTGATTTTTTTTTTGAAGATCAGATGTTTGTAGGTATGTCAGTTTATTTCTGGGTTCTCTATTCTGTTCCATTGGTCTATGTGTCTGTTTTTGTACCAGTACCATGTGGTTTTGGTTACTATAGCCTTGTAGTATAATTTGAAGTCAGGTAATGTGATGCCTCCAGCTTTGTTCTTTCTGCTTAGGATTGCTGTGACTGTTAAGGGTCCTTTTTATTTCCACATAAATTTTATAATAGATTTTTCTAATTATGTGAAAAATGACATTAGTACTTTGATAGGGATAGCATTGAATCTGTAAATGCTTTGGGCAGTATGGTCATTTTAACAATATTGGCTCTTCCAATCCATGAGCGTGGAATGTTTTTCATTTGTTTGTGTCATCTATGATTTCTTTTAGCTGTATTTTGTGGTTCTCCTCATAGAGATCTTTCACCTCCTTGGTTAGATGAGTTCCTAGGTATTTCATATTTTGCAGCTCCAGTAATGTATTTTAGCTTTGATTTACATTGGGTGATATCATAATATTTTTGAATTTTTTACATTATCAGGATTTCTAAATTTCAGTTGTGTTTTCCTTTGATATTATATTCCTTAATACTCATTGTTTTAACTTTAGAATCTGAAACAAAATGTAAAATTTAGTTCAATTCAACACATATTTAGTAGTAACAGCGTTTGTTTCAGAAATGTCTTATAGACAGAGAAATAAAAATATTTTACTTAAATCCTCATAATTTTGTGGTGATGGATAATCACACATATATGTAATAAGTGTGAGTGAATTGACTAGGTTCCTTGAATGTCAGCAGTAGAAACTGACTTAGAGTCACATGAGTATATATGTTACAATTCTGGGAAAACTTTAATTATAAATTAAGAAAATAAACCACAATCACAAATTCTTAGAACTCACAAGAATGAGTTGGCTATTTTGATTAACAGTAACCAAATCATCATTGTAGGCAACGGACAGTTTGAATCTTTCTAATTATGATTTTTTTCAATTTCTAAAACTTACGCAGATTTTACCAGAAAAATACTCATGCAATTTTCCTAATTTTATTGTTTGGTGTATAAACCTACAGGTTTTAATACATGCATAAGCACTACCATACTCAGGCTATAGAACCTTTCCATAAGACAAAAAACTTCCCCAAGCTACCCATTTGTCACTCCTTCCCTGAATTCCAACCTCTGAAAATCAGTGATATATTCCCCATCACCATAGTTTTAAAATCCACAAAACATTATTGCTATTGCTTACACTGTCAATATTTATATTGAGCCATATATAGGCCATTTCCATTGTACTGCATTTTTCCTACATTGCAATTTTTCTGTTTAGAATATTTTCCTTCTGGCTGAAAACTACTTTTAATGTTTTGTTCAATGCATATACAGGTGACATATTTTCAGGTTTAACTTGCCTGATAATATGAGGTTTTTCCCCCATTTTATATTTTTGTGTTTATTTTCAAGGGATATTTTGGCTGGGTATAACTAGAAGATGACAATCATTGGCTTTTAGCACTTTAAAGATATTCTACTATCATCTGGTTTTTATTTATTTATTTAGTTTTCCCAATTCATAGGTGGTTTTTTATTTTTAAATTTTTTTTATTATTATTATACTTTAAGTTTTAGTTAAATAGTCAGATGTCAATCTACATGTTGTTCCTTTGAAAATGACATGTCCTTTTTAACTCTTGCTGCTTATAATATTACTGTTACAGTTTGGTTTTCATAAGGTTTGCTAAAATGTGAATAGTTTTATTTTGGATACTTTCCTTCTTCTTTTGTGCTCTCTGTGCTTTTACATAATATTTTTATTGAACTGTCTTCACTACATTAGTCCTCTCCTCAGTGATAACTGCTTTAAAGCAATATATTTAGTTTTTATTTTCAATATATTGCATTGTGAGAGGGCAGTGTAGTTAGAGTTCTAAGATTCTCACATTTTCTGGAAAATGATGGTAATATTTATGTCATACTGTAATACATTTCAAATACATATTGTAAGTCTGGGGTATGACATCAAATAGTAAAATAATGTCCAATCAATAAGGTACTAACAAGAAGAATAATAAAAATCATTGTGAAAGTAAAAAAGGAGAAAGGAAAATAAAGCAAGCGAGATGAATAAAAAGAAAATAGGAGATGAGAATAACCGCAAATATATCAGTAATAGCATTTTATGTTAAATGGGACAAAGACTCCAATGAATAAAGATTATCAGAATGGATTTCTTTTTATTTTTTGAGGCGAAGTCTTGCTCTTGTCACCCAGCCTGGAGTGCAGTGGCACAATCTCGGTTCACTGCAACTTCTGCCTCCTGGGTTCAAGTGATTCTTCTGCCTCAGCCTCCCTAGTAGCTGGGATTACAGGTGCCCGCCACCACGCCAGGCTAATTCTTGTATTTTTAGTAGAGACGGGGTTTCACCATGTTGGCCAGGCTGGATTTAAACTCCTGACCATGTGATTCTCCCACCTTGGCCTCCCAAAGTGCTAGGATTACAGGCGTGAGCCACCACACCCAGCCCAGAATGGATTTCTTTAATGCCTTTTTTAAAAACACACCTCGAATACAAAAACACACCTCGAAAGACTGAAATAAAAGTTTGGAAAAAGTTATACCACACAAACAGTAGCCAAAGATCACTGGTGTCACTATAATAATAACAATCACAGCAGATTTTAAAGCAAAGAAAATTGATAAAGATAACACGGAGATATAAAAAAGGATAATAAATTGGATCAAACAACCAAGAAGACATACAATTCTGAATCTGCATTCACCTAATAATATAACCTCAAAATATATAAAAGACAGTTGATGTAACCAAAAGAATAAAAACTCCAGACCACAATAGCAGTGGGAGACATTTAACACATCTCTCATAATGACTGATAAAGCAAAATGACAAAATATTAATGATGATGTACAACATCTAAAAACATGGTCAGCAAATTTGACTTAATTGACATATGTGCTGTATTGATGGTTGTCACCTGGGCACTATTACCAACAATCGCATTTTCCAGAACACAATTCCCTGGTTACTATTTTCCAAAGAGTAGAACTTTGGAAGATTTGGAAGTCAGAAGTGGAACAGAAGGCAGGTTTCAGAAGGCCATGGCAGCCAGGTGCAGCTTCCAGACCTGAACACAAGTCTTTGCTGCACTCCACAGCACATCATAGGCTTTCCTGGTAGCAGCAGTGTTCCTTTCCGCTCCAGGGCAGGAGGTTGAGATCTTATGGCTGCTTTTCCTAGCTTCTGGCTGGAGCTTTGCAGATCTTCGTTCTGCCAGCTCCTCCCACATTTGTGTAAACCCTTTCCCCCTCATTAGTAGCTACTGTTGGTGACCTGCCTACATCTCCTTTACTGGGTCAATGCTCTCATCTCCAGCTGCTGTGACTAATGGCACACAGCTCTCCCTTCTCCAAACAACTTCCATCACCTGTAGATGCATGCTATCTCACCCAAAAATTCTAGAGGTGGCTTTTATCCCATGACTGACTGATACATAGATGAAAATCCTGGCTGCCTTGCCTTAAGGTGGGGCAAGTTTATGATGCCATTCATGCCCAAGACTTTACCATGGTACTGAACTGAGTTTAGATACTAAATTAACAGTTAAATTAACATCTGTGTTTGTCCCCTACCCCCAGGTTCTATCCTGCTTCCTTCTCTTTCCTACCAGTTTCTCCTGAGAATACCCTCAATCACTTAGATGAGAATTCTTGTCTCAGACTCTGAATCTATGAAACTCAATCTAAAACATACCTGTAGTAGTTCTGTTTTTCTAACCAAACCAAAACAGATAACAGATTTGGTATTAAGGTGCTTCCAGGGTAACATAACTTTAAGGTTGGGGATTTAGGGCTGATCCTCAGATCTGTTTTGCTTCAAAGGCATCAATGACTCTATTTCAAGCGGTAAATGGAACACTGGGAGTGATGGCATACAGGGTAAAACACCTATTTAAGTTGTCATCTGTAGTCACCCGAAAGAGTCAACTGGCTATGCAAAGCTTTGGCCGATCAAGTAGCTGCTGCAGTGAAATGTTATGATGGGGATAAAGATTATAAAGACCATTGGAGAAGTTGCTTGGTTTCTTCTGACGGTACTCAAAAACTTTTAGACAAAAGATGATGAGTTCAGGGCTTGAAGCTCCCAACACAATGTCTGAGTAAAGAACCAGAAAGTTTCTGTGATTATCCTGAAGGAAACCCTTATCCCTGCAGCTTCAGGGACAAGATCTCTGAAAACCAACCCCAAATTTGATCTTGCAAATGGCTGAATGTCAATACATGCTGAACTCTTCAAATATAGTTATAAACAATGATTGAAAAAGTGTGATCAGAAAATCTGGGCACATTCTGTGAACCCCTCAGATCCATCCATCTTCCATTGTCAGTAAAGACAGCACATTTTCACTTTCTGAGGATGGGATAGCTCACCAAAAAACACTAATCCTCCTTAAGCTTCCCCTCCATCACCAATCACTACTCATTGCTTGCAGAATTTTAACTAGACTCAAATCTCAGCAGAGTCTACAGGTGTGGAGGCCAAGGGTGACCTGGAAACATGTGATAGGCACATACAGATTGCAAGATTTTGCCAATTGATATACACAGATATCTTAAGAATATGCATGAGAATGGACTGTCAGGGTTAAAAGAATGTTTGGACAAGACAAATTTACTGATAAAAATGCACTAACTAGGTAGCC
Organism: Homo sapiens; assembly: GCF_000001405.40. Lineage (NCBI taxonomy): Eukaryota > Metazoa > Chordata > Mammalia > Primates > Hominidae > Homo > Homo sapiens. The sequence continues at coordinate 10,120,099 of NC_000010.11, forward strand.
TAGCTGAGATTTGTTAGTGTGGGCATCTGGCATGGTTCTAGCATTTGGCTTAATAGGCTGAATGAAACCAGACCAACAGTGGCCTGCATTAAATGAAACTGTAATGCCAGAATTTCATTGGTAAATTGTAGGTTAAAGTATCTGAAGGCTTAGATAAGAACAAGGGAATGGACTTTTCATAAGTAAACTTCCCCTTCACCTAACTATTCTTCATAGAAAAGGTTTACAGGATATCTCTTAAATCAAGTCTTTGAAAAATACATTGGTGAAGAGAGCATAATTTATTGAAAACCTACTCAGTAAATGGCTATTCTCCACAGGAAAGAAACTAGAGTGAGAGATACTGCCATCAAAATGTGGCTCTTGAATTCAGTGACAATGACGGAATTTTAGAGGGGCAGAATCCCAATGGCAGCTTCTAATCAACAGAGATAGACTGGGCATTATTACTGTAATGAGAATGAGTATTATAACAGATTAACAGAATATTTATTTTTAATTTGTGTATGTTCCAAAAATAATTAATCACACATGTTACTGATAAAAGACACATTGCATATGTGACAAATGCTACTTCGTTGTCTCTAAGTAATATATCCAGTGATAAAACATTGGAGGATTTATTGTGTATATTTTCTAGCACTGTAATCCCTGTCCCTTGCCAGCCTGCATACCTTGCTAAGATAAGTAGAGGCTTTTGCAGCTATTTTTAGTTTGAAATTAGTTTTAAATGAGGAAAACATTCGTCTTGTGATTACCCTCCTCACAGAATCTCAAGCCTGAGCTTTCAGGGAGGTCACACTGTTCCTTTGATCGGATTATCAAAACAATTTAATCCTTGAAGATCTTTGGCAGTGGGTAATCTTTCCTCTTAAAGTCTTACAGAATTTGTATAAGCAAAAATATCTTGGTTTAATAAACTGAGATCTGACCTGAATTGTCACTATTTAGAGTCATGGTCCTTTCTCTAATTCTTTTCTTTTTAATATTTGAAGAGATTCTGAGCCAAATATGAGTGACCATGGCCCATGACACAGCCCTCAGGAGGTCCTGAGAACATGTGCCCAAGCTGGTCAGGGTGCAGCTTGGTTTTATGCATTTTAGGGAGGCATGAGACATCAATCAAATACATTTGAGAAACACATTTGTTTGGTCCAGAAAGGCAGGACAATTTGAAGTAGGGGCTTCCAGGCTATAGGTAAATTTAAACATTTTCTGGTTGACAGTTGGTTAAGTTTGTCTTAAACTTGAGTTTGTTTGCAGTTCCAGAATCCCTTGAATGAAAGGAGTCCTAGGCAAAAAATAAGGTCCCTTTGAATAAGAACCCTACAACAATGCCCAAATCTGTGTGTAAATCTTCCTTCCAGATTTCCCCCAATGGAACTTACAGCAATTTACCTGCATAAATGAGTATTATAAAAAGGAAAATATACAGGCTTTTGGGGGAAAGCTATTGTGACCTACTAGTGAGAGTGATGGCTTTTGGAACTCAAGTAATTAATGGTGGATCCCAAAACAAACTCCATGATTATTTACCTACTTTTGAAATAAATACTTGCATTAGAAATATTTATGAAATTGATAAGATCTCCATATTGGCTCCCTCATATGTGTAATGGGGAACATTATGATGGGAAAGGCCAAGTAAAAAACCTAGGACTGCTTCCATCCACCAAAATAGTAAATTAAACGCAATACCACATTTTTTAAGGGATTGCAGATATGGTCACTTTATGAACAAAACAATACAGGTATCTACTATGCAGGTCTTCATCTGTCAAATTCTGCCCAACCCCCACTGCCATCTATATTTTAGAAACAATTTGGTTTCACCTGAAGGAACAACAATATACCTTCACAGCCTTAACTCACCAATATTTCATCACTCTGCCATAATTTAATCTGCAGAAAATTTGATTACCATTCCACAAGAGCTTATTCTGGTCCACTACATTATTGGTATCATGATGGTTATATGTGTTGATCAGAGCCTAGAAAATATTCTAGACATTTTTTTTGAGAAATAAGCATTCTAATGGATGAAATAAACCTACAAATATTTGGGATCCTACCACGTTAGTGAAATTTCTAGAGGTCCAGCGACCTAGGACATGTCAAGATATTCTCTCCAAGGTAAAGGATAAGCTAGTGCATCTGGCATATCCTATCACTAAGAAGCACAATGCCTAGTGGAAGCCTGATTTTCTTATGGGTTATATATTTTGGTACACTGTTCAACCGATATACGGAGTGTTTTATAAACCTTCCAACTTTTAGATGAACTCAAAGCAAAAGAAGGCTTTGAAATAGTTGTGGACTGCCACAAAAGCTACCCTGTTGTGTAAGCCATGTTACTAAGCATGTCCGATGGTGCTTGAAGTGTCTCTAGAAGATAAGGATATTATAGCAACCATTGAGTAGGGCCCCCATAGAAGAATCACAAAATAAGGTCAGGCTTTCAAAAAGGGGCACTCTGTCTTATTCAGATAACTATTTGAAAATCAGCTTTTGGCTTGCTCCAGGGCCTTAGTAAAGATTACCCATGAGCTATCAATTTACCATGCAATTGAAGTTGGCTACCATGAGCTGGAAGTTGTCTGACCCACTAAGCTGTAATTTGGGGCATGCACTGAATAACTCCATAATGAAATCAAAGTCTTATATATAAATCTGGGCTTGAATAGGTCCTAAAGGTCTGGAAGGCCTCCAACTACAGGGAACCTAACTATGCAAAGGCCCAACTACCGTGCTTTGAAGTCCATCCCTGGGTTTGTGCTGAGGCCTCACTTCCTTCAGGTAGCTTCCAGACAATAACTGGGAGGTCTCCAACACCCTAGCCATGGGTTGCTTGTCCTAATCAACTAGATTGGTTTCATTAATAAATGAAAAATGTGATGTTCTGTGGGAGTTCATATTCTTAAAACTATATTATGTCAGAGGGAAGGAGATTTGACATGATAAAAAGAGGCAAACTATAAAAGGAGAGGTAAAACTATAATATTATCTACACCATGTGAATTAAAAATGTGTATGATCCTTTGTTCTAATCAGAATGGGAAAAAATGTGTTCATCAAATCAATGGGTGCCTATTATGTAACTGAGGACTTTCAAATATGCTGTAGTAATTATACCACTTCTGGCAATGCAGTGCAATAAGGGCTACTATTTGATTGAGTTAGAAGTAGTTAGCTAAGAGTTATTCTCCTGGATCCACCCAGTTTTTGAAGAGGTTAGACTGGTTGGTGAAGTAAATGGGCATTGTAGGAATCGCCCCACCTGCAACCTTTATGTGCTGTGTCCTTATATAATCTACACACTCCAGCACACGCACTGTGTGTGTGTGTATATATATATGGATTTATAATAAGTAATTATCTCATGGAATGATGGAGGCTGAGAAGTTCAGACACAGGAGAACCAATGATATGGTTCCAGTCTGAGTCCAAGTGCCTGAGAAGCAGGAGAGCTGATGGTGTAAGTTCCAGTCCAAATCCAAAGGCAGAAGACTGATGTTCCAGCTCAAAGACAGTCACAGAAAATTCTTTCTTATTCAGCCTTTTATTCTGTTCAGGCCTTCAGCAGATTGGATGAGAACCACCCACACTGGGAAGGGCAGCTGCTGTACTCAGTCTACCAAATCAAACGTTGATCCCATCCAGAAACACCCTCAAAGATATACCCAGAAATAATATTTCACCAAATAGCTGGGCCTCCTGTGACCCAGTTAAGTGGGCAAGTAAAGTCAGCCACCACATCCACTTCCTTTACACTCTTCTGTCCCTCCTTTACCACATTCTGGGGCAATTCAGGCATTTGTACTTTGTCAAAGTTGGCCATTGTTTGTTTCAAGCTTCTAAGAGCCACCCCAGCAGCAAATTTGCCTTATGCCCTAGTATCCATGTTAAATTATGTGTCATGAGGAAGCACACCTAAGTCAATACCTTTTTTGCTTATCCCACCTTCAATTCCAGCCCCTGGATGAAGCACCCTACAATATATCCATGAAATACTCACCTAGCTCTTGCTGGTGCATGCCACCTGATTCTTATATTTCTTTATTTATACCATCTCTTTATAGGCCCAGCTTGGAGGGCCAGTCTATACTGGGATTTAAACCTATGTATCAGTCTGGCACCTAGGATAGATTTATGGCAGCTTCTGAGAGGGCCACCTGTTCCTTGTGGGACAGAGACTTCTGCAGTTTCTTCTAGGACAGTATAAGTGTCAACCATTACGAGGGAAGGGTGGGCCACCTCTGCATATCCAGCAGGTCTAGGGTAAGGCAGAAGCAACCCATTCCATGACTGTCATCTAGATGTCCTGATCTCAGTTTTCAGAGTCCCAGGTTTTTCTTCCTGCATCTTGATTTTTCACATAGCAGATCCTGCCTTGGCTGAGAATTCAAGCATCTGTGGAGCTCTGCTGTTGCAACTAAGTCTTCAACCTGCTTTTCATCTGTGTCTGCCCTTCTAGGATGGGATAAGGGCCTTTTATACCTCCCACCGGGGCTCTCTGGCTCTCGCACTTAGCCATCAACATCTACTTGTTCAGCCCTCAGTCTCTTATTATCCTTCACTGGAGTCAACTCATCTTGGCAGTAGCCAGCCACCTCTGCTGTATTGATAGCCTTTGCTACCCTATAGATTTCAAATGCCTGTATCATTGAGCCTACAACAGCATCCCTGCTCCACTGGGATAATTTACCACATCACCACTGGTGTAATATTTATTTATTTACTTATTTATTTATTTATTTATTTATTTATCTGATGGAGTCTCACTGTGTCGCTCAGGCTGGAATGCAGTGGTGCAATCTCAACTCACTGCAACCTCTGCCTTCCGGGTTCAAGTGATTCTCCTGCCTCCACCTCCCAAGTAGCTGGATTACAGGCTCCCACCACCATGCTTAGCTACTTTTTTGTATTTTTAGTAGAGATGGAGTTTCACCGTGTTAGCCAGGGTGGTCTCCATCTCCTGACCTCGTGATCCGCCCACCTTGGCCTCCCAAAGTGCTGGGATTACAGTCGTGAGCCACCACACCCAGCCCACTGGTGTAATCTTTAATAATCCTGTTGCTATTTTATGCTACCTCAAATGTTCCATCTCACATTTGCACCTGTCCCAAATAACCGTCTTACCTCCTGTTATCTCAGACCACTTTGGCACCACTTGGGCTAGTCCACATCCTCTGAGAAGATTTCAGGATGAGATTAAATTTATGAGTAGTTTGCACAGAAAATGCCTGTGTGAGGGACACAGATACAGAGGCAAAGAAACTTGGGAGAGCAGTCAGACCAAGAATGCATCTCTGATTCTCACCCCTAGTTAGTGAAAGACAGAGGGACAAAGTTTGGATGGAAGTGACTTAGACTCAAACATCTCAGGAATGGTGGGCAAAGATGAAGGGGAGTATTCAAGCCAAAGCTGGCTGCCAGAGGAGTCCTGTGTCTACCTCAATATTCTGCCACCCTTAGTCATTAACTAGGAGCAGCCCATGGGAAGCGTAGCCTTGTTGCAAAGAAAAATCAGCCATATTAAAAATATAGGGTAAGGATGATGTATTAGTCTGTTTTCATGCTGCTGATAAAGACATACCTGAGACTGGTGAGAAAAAGAGGTTTAATTGAACTTATAGCTCTACGTGGCTGAGGAGGCCTCAGGATCATGGTGGGAGGTGAAAGGCACTTTTTACATGGCAGTGGTAAGAGAAAAAAGGAAGAGGAAGCAAAAGCGGAAACCCCTGATAAACCTATCAGATCTCATGAGACGTAATCACTATCACAAAAATAGCATGGGAAAGACCAGACCCCATGATTCAATTACCTCCCCACTGGGTCCCTCCCACAACACGTGGGAACTCTGGGAGATATAATTCAAGATGCAATTTGAGTGGAGCATAGCCAAATCATATCAGATGGTTTAGCAATAAATGATGCCAGATAAATGGGATCAGTGATGCCAGATAAATTTGTCAAACCAATTTGGAAAACTTTGATACTATCTGTCCTAAAGCTGAAGATTTACATGTCATATTGTTAAACATTTCTGTCTTATAAATGCTGCAAATACTGAACAGAAGTGTACACATTTCCACCAGAAAAAGATTTCAAACATGTTGATTAGAAGCCTTTTTCATGATAGTCACAAATTAAGTATAACCCAAAGTATACATCACCAAAATAATAAATTGTGGTTATATTAGTTTTTTATTGCTGTTTTAACAAATTCTCATATACTTAACAGATTTAAACAACTCAAATTTATTATCTTATAGTTCTGGTGATTAGTCATCTGAAATGTGTCTGAAATGGGCTAAAGTGGATGTGTGGGCGGGACTGCATTTCTGCATTTTTTTTTTTTTTTTGAGATGGAGTCTTGCTCCATCTCACCCAGGCTGGAGTCTCACCCAGGCTGGAGTGCAATGGCATGATCTCGGATCACTGCAACCTCTGCCTCCTGGGTTCCGGTGATTCTCTTACCTTAGCCTCCTGAGTAGCTGGGGTTATAGGTGCCCACCACCACACCCAGCTAATTTTTTTCTTTTTATTAGAGGCTGGGTTTTGCTATGTTGGCCAGGCTGGTCTCGAAGTCCTGAGCTGAAAGTGATCCGCCCACCTTGGCCTCCCAAAGTGCTGGGATTACAAGCATGAGCCACTCTCCCAATCTGCATTTCTTTTTAAAGAGCAATCTGTTTTCTTGCCTTTTCCAGCTTCTGGAGGGTATCCTCATTCCTTGGCTTGTTGCTGCCTCCCATCTTCAAAGCCAGAAACGGCCACTCTAGTCTTTTTTACATCCTCTCCCTCTGATTCTTATTTTTTGGCCTCCTTCTATGTTTAAAATCCCCATGTCTGTGTGTGGTGGCTCAGGCCTGTAATCCCAACACTTTGGGAGGCCAAGGTGGGAGGATTGCTTGAGGCCATGAGTTTGAGACCAGCCTGAGCAACATAGCAAGGACCCATCTCTACAAAATAAAAATAAAAATCTGCTGGGTATGGTGGTGCACCTGAGTAGTCCTCACTAGTCAGGAAGCTAAGGCAGGAGAATCTCTTGAGCCTAGGAGGTTGAGACTACAATGAGCTGTGATTGCAACACTGTACTTCAGCCTGGGTGATGGAACAAGACGCTGTCTCAAAAAAAAATTTAATAAATGTATGTGTATGTAGAGTAGGTATAAAAGAATAAATAACAAAATCAAGCAAACCCAAGCAGTATTGATACATTTCAAAATAGTCCATTAAGCATTAAGAATGAGTTTGGAGTAAGATCCCAAAGGATGATTTTCTTGGAAACACAAAACCTCTAGATTTTGAGAAACACCTATTATTTAGTTGTATAGATAAATTAGTTAGTTGTATAAATAAGGGAGATGTTGTCCTGAACATGGGATAGACAGGAAAATGGCTTCTCTTCTATGCAGCTTGTGTGAGTGACACAGTCTTTTAGAGAGCAGTTTTGCCATAGATAGTCATTTTTGGGTTGGCATTTGCCTAACTCTTTACCCCATAATTGACACTCTAGTCAAAATGAGTTATTTTGAGATGCAGGAAAGATTTATCTTCTCCAAGGGAAAAAAAAGCAAATGTGTCACGGCTTCATTCAACATTGTATATCATCCATCTGCCCAGTATAACGTGTAATGTGTGTGTGCTCAGTTACAAAGTCATGGTTGTGTGCCTGGTTACACTTCTGGATTGTTTGTCGAAATATATGGTGCAGCTGTTCCAGGTCTTTTGTTTTGTTTTGTTTTGTTTTTCTAAAAAAAGGACTGTGATCTCCTGACGTCCATTCAGTATGTCAGGCAGGAAGCAGTTCTCTGCATCTCTTGATCCAGCATCTTCTAATAAGCCAGGCATGGTGGCTCACGTCTATAATCCCAGCACTTTGGGAGGCTGAGGCGGGTGGATCACTTGAGGTCAGGAGTCCAAGACCAGCCTGGCCAACATGGCAAAACCATGTCCCTACTAAATATACAAAAGTTAGCCAGGCATGGTGGCATGTGCCTGTAGTCCCAGCTACTTGGGAGGAGGAAGCAGGAGAATCGCTTGAACCCGGGAGGTGGAAGTTGCAGTGAGCCGAGATCATGCCACTGTACTCCAGGCTGGGTGACAGCGCGAGACTCTGTCTAAAAAAAAAAAAAAAAGGTAATATTAAGTGCTAAATAATTCTAAAGGCAAAACTTCCTACAGCTGGAATACCTAATGGAGACATAGTGGCTGTGACGGGTAGGGAGAGATTCAGTAATTATAAGGGATGTTTTGGAGGCACCGATTAAAGGGAGATTCTTTATAACTTTCTAAAGTAGTCCTTGGCGTCTGGTATGATGTGTTGCCAAATACAAGGACCCATAAAGCTGGGCCCAGTAAGCAGTGACCTGGGGTTTGTCATACTGCAGGGCAAGAATGGCCAGTGGTATACACCCCAGAGTCAGCCAGTGCCTGGTGAGGAAGGGGAGGGATATTTCCTACTCAACACCTAATTCAGTTTAACTTCTCAGGAAATTAGCAAAAAGCTGTGAGAATGTAGTGATGCAACCGATTGCTGACTCATACTGCATGATATATGTGATAGCTTCTTGAGAAAGAGATTTACAATGGGTGTTTATCATATGGAGAAGACTATCTTTTAAAATCAATAATTCTTTTAAAATAATTCTTGTTTTGGGTCCAGATGTCGTGGCTTCTGCCTGTAATTCCAGAACTTGGAGAGGCCAAGGCAGGAAGATCACTTGAGCCCAGGAGTTCAAGTCTACAGTGAGCTATGTTTGCAGTGATTGTGCCACTGCACTCTAGCCTGGGCGACAAAGTGAGACCCCATCTCTAAAAAAATTAAAATAAAAATAAATATATTAATTTTTGTTTCTTTTAAGATACAGTCATTACTTTCTTCGCTTCATTTTGATTTCTTCCCCAGCACCAATCTATTCAATATATAGTACCTGATACTTTATACTTAAATAATAAGAACCTCACAACAAATCCCAGGCAAGGTGTAATATTCATACTTTATCTATCCCCAAATGTTGATTATTTTGCTTTTTTTTCTACTTTTCTAAAATGCACTTTCCATTCATTCTTTAATGTCTTTAGAGGCAATATGTAGACTGTACCATATATACAATTACATATTAATTATTCAGGGTCATATCAATACTAGTAATTCAGATAAAAACTATTAACACTATACTAAAGAAATCTATGTTCCTTATAATGGAAAAGCATTCAAAGAAAATTTGAAAAGGGAATTAACCAGAAGTTTCAGAGATCTAAACTGAATTTCATCACTTTCAGCCTCTTAGAAAGCTTATCACTTATCTATTAAAAGTAGAGAAATTTTATCTAAAGGAGGAAATCTGAGTGATAGCTTAATACATGCCTTCAAGTCTAAGTTGAATACATTGATCTCCATCTGTTCTCTAATGATGTTGATGACAGAAGTAGGAAAAAAAAACAGATTTATGTAGCAAAAGAAAGAGATTGAACAAAGATATCAGAAAGAACATTTTGTTAAAATAAATCATTTTTAAATATCAAATTCCATCAGTACCCCAAATCCCTTAGATGCCCCTTCCACTCTCCAACACGACAAGGTCAATCAAAAAGCTTGGTCTACTAGAGTATTGTATTGTTGAAAGAATCCAAGGTAGTTCATGCCTTACCTAAAATTATAAGCATTGCATCTAGGCACTTTTAAAAAATATTCCCATCTTCTGAAATTATATCCACCCCCTAAGAAAAAATAAATTTTGAGCCTACTTTTCTAGGTTTCTTTTGATTAATGAGGCATTTGCTTGATAATGACAGATGACTAATGAGAATAAAGCCATTAATTTGATTTATAATTAAGAAATTCACTAGGCTGGGCGTGGTGGCTCACTCCTGTAATCCTAGCACTTTGGGAGGCCAAGGTAGGTGGATCACTTGAGGTCAGCAGTTCAAGACTAGCCTGGCCAAGATGGTGAAACCCTGTCTCTAATAAAAATACAAGAATTAGCTGGACATGGTGGTGCATGCCTGTAATCCCAGCTACTCGAGAGGCTGAGAGAGGAGAATCACTTGAACCCAGGAGGTGGAGTTGCAGTCAGCTTACATCGCACGACCACACTCCAGGCTGGGTGACAGAGCAAGACTCCATCTCAAAAAAAAAAAAAAAAAAAGAAAAAAGAAGTACATTTAAATAAGCCCCTGTTCCATACCAATACGTAAATTCAAGACTAAAGAAATTTTAACATTAAAAGTGCTATTGATGAATGCTAAATATTGATATTGATAATGATGCTAGAGTAACACAGTATCAGTAGCTTTGCAGGAATTTGTAAACCGGTGCTGTAAGCAGTTTTTGAGACTCTTGAATTCCTCATTTACATTTAATGTTTATTAATCTGTCAGTGAATGAGCTCGCCATTAGGAAAGCAAACTTTATTGACTTTTGAGACATAAAAGAGGAAATCTTATGTTAATGATCTACGATGAGTACATACTATTTTCTTATTTAGATTTCTAAATCACTGTGACTATAGAGCTAATTAAAATATTTTAAATTTCACCATTGGAATAAATGTGCATCTATTTATCAGTCTCCCATGAAACATGTGTCTTTTGAAATCTAGTCCACTCTCCCTAAATATTTTGAAAATTTTATAACAACAGCATGCAGTTTTACTTACAATTTATGGGCTTGCATTTAAATTGCATTTTAAACTAATTTGGTTTGTTCTTAAAGTTAATTAACTAATCGAGATAATGTTTCTTAGTGCAATTGAGATAATAGAGCAGATGTGGAGATTTATTGGCATCTCTTGGAAGCCTCCCAAACTTAGACATTTTCTCTTTGTCATGCTTAACTAACCTTTAAAACCATGTGGCTTTTCAAGAGGAGGGAGACCATTCGTATTTGTTTATAGTGGACACTCAGCAAAAGTCAGATAACACTTTTATATTTGAGTTAATACTCATAGTATTTTCCACCTAAATTCTCTTATTGATGCTAGCATTGTACAAGTCAACTGTGTATATGGGGGACATATTCTTTTCTTAATGATATGAATTGATTATTTCTTTTGCTCAGATATACTATTGCATTGGATTGTTTAATCTCATTTATGTTAAGTAATATGGACCTGTGAAAAGAAATCTCCTTCGTCAAAGCCATGAATCCCACTCTGAGAATGATAGTCATCATGCGTCCAGCAACTTTCCTACTCAGAATTCAAGCTCATTCTTTCCTTTTGATGTACTCTTATGGCATGTCAGCGAGGTATGGGAGAGCAACTCTTCTACTGACTAATGAAAAAGGTAGTAAGTACAGGTTGATTATGAGTTGGCTTTATGACCATTATTCCATGAAGTGCTTTACAGGTAGCATCATCTTTAACTCTTGTAACAAAGTATAATACTGTGTAGTACTGGCTCCTTGCTTACAGCTGAGGACAATGAAGCCCTGGAAGGATAGGTGATTTGTCTAAGAACCTGCAGAGAGGAAATTTTAGACCCAGAATTGACATCTAAGTAGCCTGGATTCAGAGCCTGTGTAACAGTTGTAAATTTAAAAATGAGGCACATGTTTTTCATCGGTATTATGCATAACACTTCACCTTCTGCTTTTACTTAAAATGGAATCAACCTTCCAATTTCTATAGTCTGCATGAGAATAATTTTAATAGATATTTAATAGTGTACCTGGTTTGTATATCTTAACTGAATAAATACATTTCCCTATTATTGGATATTACATTTATAAGTGTGTGTGTATATATATGTGTATATATATATGTGTGTGTGTATATATATATGTGCCTAGAACAAGGGTGCATGAGTGTGTATGTGTGTGTGTTTTCATTATATAAGTACATAAGTATGTTCATACAAATTAGGTTTTGCTTAGGCTGATCTGTTTTCCTAAAATTCTCAGAAGTGGGATTATATGCATACAAGTGTGGCTATTTTTATGGATCCTGTCATCTCTTATATATTTGTCAAAGAAAGAGACAGGCAAAGAAAGATCAAGTGGTTCACATAGTGGGTGGGAAACAAAGACAATGCCATCTGCTAAAGAGTGAGGTATTTCCACTCAAATCACTAGCACGGATGATGTAATTCAGTATTTCAGTGATGCTTTCCAGAGAGTTTAAACACTGTGCAGGAACACATGTGACTAAAACACAGGAAGAACCAGACACATTTCCCAAGCCCTCTACAGCCTGAGAATTTATTTCAGTTTTCTTTTGTCACTGACAGTATATTACTGACACTGGCAAGATCATTGCCAAACTGTGTGAATATTTGTTGATCAAAAGTTCAGATATATAAATAGTATTTTAGCATTGGTAATCAAACCCTTCCAGAGAATAATTAACCTCTCACAATGTGAATGTGGTAAATCAGGGAATCTGCTGTGTTGTCAGCATTAAATGCATCTTAAATTTACAATATTTTTGACTTATGATGGGTTTATTGGGATGTAATCCCACTGTAAGTTGGGAATGTAAAAGAATCATTTTGTTGATGGACTGTGCTACAACATGTTTTTTATATGGGAACCTATTATAATTCAGAGGAAGTAGTTTGATCTGTAGATATTTTTCAGTGCTATAGGATAACTGAATGCGATGTTTGGTCTGTGATTTAAAGTGCAATATATTAGTTATTGAGTAACTAAGAAGGATATAAAGATGAAGATCCATTCATTCCATGCCTTTAACATATAAAGTATTTTCCTAACATCACGGACTGTTATTATCAGGTAATATGTTTCTTTTTAACTACTATACAAAAAGATTGTTTTATATAAACAATATAAGGAACTGTTTATATAAAGATATTTATATAAATTGATCAGTATATGATTTACAGTATTCATAGAATACTTTATGGAATTGTTTAAATTGAAACCATTTAAAGAATTCCATAGAGTAAATATTCTATGTTTGTTGTAAACAATAGAACTTAAAGCATTTAGCTGATACCTATAAAAATTAGCACCATGGGCATCCTGACCCTTTGCAGGACTTCATTATGAAGATGACTGACCATTCCACAGATGCCTAATGGACATCGTGACACATTCATGCCAGCTGGCAGAGAGCAGGTACACAAAAACAAGCCCAAAGTTAAATAATTGTGACCACTTGAACAAATGCTACCTTCTTGTCAAATGCAATGCAAGCTCCTCTTGTGTTTCAGCTCAATTATTTTGCCTGCTATGCCCAGTAGGTGTGGGTCAGTGCCTTAAAGGTCACTACTACCACAGTCCAAATTTTAAAGAGTAGACTGTCGTTAGCTTTTGGGTCTGTTATTGTAGCAGAAACAAGCTTACTAGTGGTCTGTGAGCATGCTTTGATACCCCTGTAGTCCTGTTTCATTGACATACAGAAGGCTGACATCCAGAGACACTCTTCTTGGGCATTCATGTGTATCAGGTTTGGTACTCCCACTGTCAGCTTGATAGACCCATTAAATGACTGTGCATTGATCCAGAAGCAACTATTCTTCATTCTCTGCAAGTTGTTGGAGGATTTCTGCATACCATACAGGGTGACAGTTACTTTCTTTCTTTTTTGGGGGTGGGGAGCAAAGATGCTACTCACATTTAAATTTCTTTGCACTCTCTTCTCCATCAGCTAACATTTTCTTTCATTTGTTCTTATTTTCCCCCACTTTCTCTCAAAAATATTTAACTCTAAGAACACCTATAAAAAACATATTCTTCCTACAAAGTGTTCTTATCACCGTCAGGTGAGAATTACTTGCTTGGAGATTATGTGTGTGTGTGTGTGTGCGTGTGTGTGTGTGTGTGATCCATCATTTGAAACAAGCAGGCAAAGATAGTGACAAAGATGTGACTCCATCTTATAAACTCTACATAAAGTCACTGTTTCACAGTCTGTCTCAATGCATTTTTTTAAGGTCTTCCAATACTATAAAGAATATTTGGGCCTAATATGTTGCTGTTACTCATGCTCAGCATTTCATGATTAATTGTCTTTATGTTTATCTTCCCCATGCCTGTTTAGTCCACCCTTTGATATCAAATCTCTTTGTAAGCTGCCAGAGTAGTTTGAAAGTGTTTGGGGGCCAAGTTAGCTTAAAATGAATCATATACTAATCAATTACAAAATGTCTTCTAAGGCTTTTCCCCCCACTGAATAATGAATCATCGTAATTTTATAGATACATGGACCCATTGTTCTGCTTATGACTCTTAAAAGACAAAAATTTCACAATGTATCACTCTGGAAATTTTCTGAAGCCTTAACACAGATTTGGAAGACAGCATCTCTTTCTGACTGCATGACTCCAGAAGTTGGTGGAAACTATTAAACTATACTGGAGCAGCTTCTTCTTGATTCTACTTCATGAATTATTGTTAAGTAGATTTGTGGAAGCAGGTCTGGCCAGAAGTAACATGGTCCATTACCCCAGGAGCATTGCATTTGAATCTAACAGTCCTAGAGGAGTTCCTGCAGTTGTAAACACTTTAATTTGCTTATATTAGTGCAGAATAATAGTGCCTAACCCATGTTCTTTTGAAAATCAAATGAAGTATTATCATAAAGTATATATCACCATGACATAGTTATTACTGAGTAAATGGTAATAATCATAATAATGACTAGAAACACAGTCATTCTCAGTTAGTCCAGAACACTGTAAAAACAGTTTGCTGAGCCTGGTGCCATCCACTCTTTTGAGATTAAGTACATATTTAAGTGAGGCCCAAACTGGGCAATTATATGATGGGTTGAATGGCCAAGACATATAACCCTTAAATGTATATTTAAGCAAAGCCCAAACTGAGCAATTATAAGATGAATTAACTGGAAAACTTACAGAAAATTTTAGAAACAGAAAAACTTTAGATGCAGAAAACATATCTAAATTCTAAAACCTCAAGTTGTAGGGACTATCATACAACAGAGATCACCAGACATCTGGAGGGAAAAATACCCAAATTAAGAGAAAAGGATGAAAGAATTTCATGAGACGAAAGCATAGGAAAGGGACACTTAATGTCATTTTTCTATGAATGTGGTCTGTGAATACTGGTTATACCATTTAACTACACAAGATAATTATTCTGCAACTTGAGAAATCTGACTTAAGAGTTCAGTCTAACTTCCCAAGAGAGCTGCTTATAAAGCTTTATTATGGTGTGATTATGATATAATTTAGCCTCAAAGTACATATGTGAGGCAATAGGCTACATTTTATAGACTCGTTATTACAAGCTCAAGGGGAAAAAAAGCATGGAATTATCATCTAAGAATCTGGGATGACATTTTTAAAATATGAGTGAGTGGTGACAGCCTGTTTATTTTCAGTAGGAGAAAATATTCCTGAAACTTTGTGTTTGTTCACCTAGAAAAACAATGCATTCCACTAAACCTTTTGGTCTATCGATTCCTAGAGATAATATAGTAGACTTGAGGGTGCTTATTATTTTAAGAGATGATAGGTTTAATTAGCTGTCATTGTTAATAGGGTCATAAGAGAAGAAGATGATGCAACACAGGGGAATGGAATGCATCCTTTTTCAGGGGATTGGGAACCTAAAATGATGATTATTGAGCTGCTCAAGGTAGTTTCATTAAAGGTAAACATGGAGAATCATTGAGCATTTTCCACAAACTTTTGCCAGGCATTCTTACCCTGCCCTACCCCAATGTCCATTCGCAAATAAAAACAAAGACTTAAACTAGTGGCATTCAATGAGTTTTCACTTCTTTAGTGGTCTGTCCTGAAGACTTTAAAATAATTCAATTATGCTGTACAGAGCTGACCTTATACAAGGACCTAGATATTTGCTTATATTGTAAAAGAATTTCTATGTATGGATATATTCTCCTTCAGCTATGCTTTGTGCCTGATAATCCTATTCTTAGGATTATCTTATTTATGATAGTTTATGGAAATAAAACTTCCTACAATGGTGTCTCCAGGAGTCCCATTCTCATTTACAAATGTTGCACCAAGGTGTAAAGTATGAAACCATTTTCAGCTAACAACAAAAGTTTACATGAAATGGTTTTATTAGCAAGATAGTCATTGCATCTGTCCTGTAAAATATCCCTTTGGAATATTCCAAATTTTGACATGGGGAGAGGTAAAAATGATGGAACTGAAGGATTAATTGTTATTCAGAGAGGCCACTTTTTTTTGTTTGTTTTTGAGAGGGAGTCTCGCTCTGTCGCCCAGGCTAGAGTGCAGTGGCACGATCTCAGCTCACTGCAACTTCTGCCTCCTGGGTTCAAGCAATTCTCCTGCCTCAGCTTCCCGAGTAGCTGGGATTACAGGTGCCTGCCACTACACCTGGTTAATTTTTTTGTATTTTTAGTAGAGACGGGGTTTCACCGTGTTGGCCGGGCTGGTCTCGAACTCCTGACTTTGTGATTTGCCCGCCTTGGCCTCCGAAAGTGCTGGGATTACAGGCATGAGCCACCACGCCCAGCCGAGAGGCCACTTTTTATAAAAGATGACAAATACACATCAGGCTATTAGAGGTTTCGGAGACCTCATGGAAGAAGATATGAAAATTGTTTTACTATATTTCAGGGCTAACTCTGTATTTGAAATCATAAGGTTATAAAAATGCAGAGTAGGAGGGACACAACAGTATGTGTGTGTGTATATATATACGTGTGTGTGTGTATATATGATGTCACTGATACAAAAGTTCAACAAACTTCAAGTTTTAGAAACTACAGTAAGGCATTTCATAACCAAATTATTATGAATCAGTGGTAAAAAGCTAGTGGTGAAAGGCAAACTTAAAAGCAGCAAGAGACAACAGATACATGACATTCATAAAAACAAAGAAAAAGGTGAGAGAAGGTTTTCACTGGAAACAATACAAATAAGAAAAAAGTAGAAAACATCATTAAAGTACTAAAAGAAATAGCCTAGAATTCTATATCCAGAAAAAAGTTTTTTTCAGAAATGAAGATGAAACACAAGCTTTTTCAGACATAGAAAAGTTGAAAGAATGAATCACCAGCAGACCAAATTATAAGAAATATTAAAGGAATTCCTTTAGGCAGAGGGAAAATGATACCAGAGGGAAATACAAATTTACATAAAGAACATGAAGAACCGGAAATGGTAAATATGAAAGATGTTTTTCTTATTAAATAAATGCCTTAAAGAGAAAATTGACCGTTTAAAGCAAAAATAATAACAATGTACTCTGAGGTTTAGACAATATGTGCAGATGATTTCTGACTGAGCATGGTTTGACTTGAAAATTTTTTACTTTAAGATGGGCTTATAAAGAGGTAAACCCATCATAATTTGAGGAGCTCCTTATGACTTACAATGGGGTTATGGTTTCTACTGAACATGTATTGCTTTTGCATCATCATGAAGTTTACAAATTTTAAAGTGGACCATAGTGAGGCAGGAGAATCACTTGAACCCGGGAGGCAGAGGTTTCAGTGAGCCGAGATTGCGCCACTGCACTCCAGCCTGGGTGACAGAGTGAGACTGTCTCTCAAAAAAATAAATAAGTAAATAAAAAATAAAGCGGACCATGGTAAGTCAGGGAACATCTGCTGTGTTGCCAGTGTTAAATGCATCTTCAACTTACAACATTTTTGACTTATGATTTTATTGGGATGTAACCCTGTTGTAAGTCAAGAAGCCTCTGTAAAAGTCAAGTGTAGGACGGCAATGGCACAAAAGTTAGGTTTGGAGAGATAGAAGTATGAAGTTGAGAAGTTTTTATACTGTATGTGACATGGTATAATATCTTTTTAGATAGACTTTCATAAGTCAAAGGTGCACACTATGTACCGTAAAGCAATGATTAAAAGGATACAAAAAATGAGTTAGAGGTAACAAGAAAACAAAGGAGATAAAAAGGCCTTATAAAAAATAATCAAATTATCTAAAATAAGGCAAAAAAAAAAAAGACAAAAGGAAACAAAGGACATATGGAACAAATGGAAATCAAAGAACAAGGGAGAAGATTTAGTCCAAGGAGAGCAACAATCACATTAAAGGTAAAAGTCTCAAGATCTCAATGAAAAGTCAGAAATTTACAACTTTAAAAATGAAGACCCAACTATATTTTGCTAATTGGAAACTCACTTTAAATATAAAAGCACACATAGAATAAAAGTAAAAATAGAAAACAAATACTACAGTACCAGCTTCTCAAAAGAAGTTGACCTGGCTGTATAAATATCAGAAAAAGTAGATTTCACAGCAAAAGGTAATGATTCTCTTTTACTAGGAAAAAAGAGGATTTTGTAGTAACGACAGAAGTATCAATTTGCCAAGAAGAAATAGTAACTCTAAACTTATAAGAACTGGATAATAACAGGTCAAAGCATATGATGCAAGAAATGATAGAACACCAGGGAGAAGTAGATAAAGCCATACTTCTCTTTTAATAATTGTTAGAACAAGTAAACGCCAAATCAGTAAGGGCAGAGGAGACTTGAACAACATTGTATCCACCAGCTTAACCTAACTGACGTTCATGGAAGACTCTGACTAACAAAGTTGGACTACACTTTTTTTTTCCCTGGGAGTGTAAGAAATATTTATAATGATCAACCATTTTCTGGACCATAATGTAAATCTCCAACTTAAAAGGATTCAAATCATAAAAAGCATGTCCTGTGATTACAGTATAGTTACAGTAGAAATAAAAAAACTAAAAGATATTTAGAAAATCCTTGAATACCACAAATAAATAACATACATCCATATATCACCTAGGTCAAAGAGGCAATGGAAAAGAAAATGAAAAAGTACGTATCTTGAACTGAATGATTACAAAATGAAAATGAAACCAAATCTGCGGGATGCAGCCACAGAAGTGCTTAGATGGAAATTTATAACCTTAAGGGCCTACATTAGGGGGAATAAAAGGGGTCTCAAATCAACAACTTCAATTTCTACCTTAATAAATTAAAAAATAAAGAAAAAAATGAACTTCAAAATGATCAAGAGAATGGAAACAATAAAAATCACAGAAAAAATCAATGGGAAAACAGAAAATAAAAACAATCAATAAAAACCTGGTTATTTGGAAAATTCAAAATCAACAATCCTTTTGCCAGATGAATCAAGGCAATAAAGGAGGAAACACAAATTACAAATATTAAGAATTAGATAGAGAACTTGACAAAGGCTTCCATAGAGATTAACAGGCTGATAAGAAATATTGTGAATACTTTTATGCCAATAAATTTGCCAACTTAGTTGAAATAAACAATTTCCTTGAAAGATGGGAACTACTCACTGAAGGGAAAAAATAACTAACCTGATTAGCTTTGCTTTTCTGAAGAAGTTGAATTGTTTTTAAAAACCTTCCCACAGCAAAAACTCCAGGCCTGGAGGGCATCAGTTCCAACAAGATAACTGCCAACAAACTTTCAAAAAGAAATAATATCAACTTTGCAAAAATTCTTCTAGAAAATTGAAGAGGAGGTAATACTTCCCAACTCATTCTGTGATGTCTGTATGTCTCTGAGACCAAAACGAGACAAGACATCCTGAGAAAAAGAAAAATTACACGCGATATTCCTCGTGAACATATGTAGAAAAAATAAGTAAATAAATTTGTGCAAATAAAACTCAATAATATATAAACAGTAATACATTATTAATGACTATGGTTTATTCCAGAAGTACCGGTTTGTTTAACATTTAAAAATCAATATAATGATTCGTAATCAGAGACTAAAAAAGCACTTGAGTGTCTTGAATGGAACAGTAAAAGCATTGGATAAAATACAACATTAATTCCTAGTAAAACCTGTGAGCAAACCAGGAATAGAAGGAAACTTTCTTAACCTGATAAAACACATCCATAAGAAACCCATGGCTAACAGCAAACAACACCCTTAATGGCTAAAGAGTCAAGGCTTTCCTCCTAGAACCAGGAACAAGGAAGAGATGTCTACTCTCACCACTTCTATTCAGCATTGCAGTCAGTTTCTAGTACGTTCTATACTAGTATAGTATAGTTCTAGTATGTTCTAGTATGTTCTGTAAGGCAAGAAGAAGAAAGAAAAGACATTTCAGATTGTAAAGGAGCAAGTAAACTTGTCTTTTCTAATAGACATTTGGTTGTTTATGTAGAAAATCCTATGAACCTAGGAAAATAAAACTGGAACAAATTAGTGGGTATAAATGATTATAGGATTCAAGGTCAATATACAAAATCCAATTGCATTTTGTATAACAGTAATGGACAACTGGAAATGGAATTTAAAAACATTATCACATATAAGAGTGGATCTCAAGTATTTTTACCAAAATATTAAAATAATGTACTATTAGAAATTTATTTTAAAGGGATGTGTTCCTCTCTTTGCATGAAAAAAATCCATGAATTATTTTAAGTGATAATTTATTTTGAAAATAAAATTCGTATTGCATAAAATGTTACCACTTATAGCTCGAAAATATGAAGTATTTTGAGAAACATATGTCAAAATATGAGTAAGACCTGTATATTTAAAATCACAAAGCATTACTAAAGAAAACTGAAGATATAAATAAACCGATAAATATATCATGCTTATTGATTGAAAAGCTCAGTGTTGTTTAGATGTCAACTCCCTCCGCATTGATGTATAAATTAATTGGAATGCCAATAAAAATCCAAATTGGCAAGCTTTTGCTAATACTCACAGGAGAACACAAAAGACTTAAATAAACCAAACAACTTTTTAAAAAGATGAGGATATTATCTAGTTTCAAGATTTACAGTCTTAAAAGTGTTGTTCCCAACATGACTGACAATTTCCATGCTGCTAAATCCAGGAGTCATATATATCACTCTTTGTTTTTCTTAATAAGTCGCCAGTATTTGACATAACCTATCACTTCCTTCTGACATGCTTTTGTAACCTAGCTTCTGAGATGCCATACTCTGTTTTTTCCTCTTGTTCCCTGCCTCTGAGAGTTGGAGTATCGTAGTGCCCAGTCCTTGACTTTATCTTTTGTCTGCTGTGTGTACACTCATGTCTTTGGGGAGCTCATCTCACTGCATGCTTTTAAATACCAAGCATTTAACCAGCATCAGATGGACAGGTGCAACCAGGACCTCGCCAGAGTAGTTCCGACACATATTTCCAGTTGTCTACTTGACATCTCCTCTTAGATTGTTAATGGACATCTGCAAATTGACATGTCCAAACCTGTAGTCTTGATCGTCCATACATTTGCTCCTCTGAGAGCCTTCTGAATCAGTTGACAGGAACTCAATTTTTCAATTACTCAGGCCAAAAAAAAAAAAACCTCACAGTCATCTTTGACTTCTCTATTTTGCACCCCATATCCATCCTTTAGGATACCCTGTTGATTCTTCTTCGGAGCACAAGCAGAATCTGGCCTCTTCTCGATATTTCCAAGGCTGACCCTCCAAGCTGTCACTTATTTGCTTCATTTGAGTTAGAGAAGTTCTTTATAAATCCCATGTTTTAGTAGTCCTTTGTCTAGTCCTTCCTTGATCAAAAATTTTCTGTCTCTACCTGTGTATCTATGTTCACCTATATAGTTAATGGTTTCAAACGTGTCTCTTTTTTTTGCCTTTTGTGACACATTTAAGAAATACTGCTTAACCTGATTTAATAAAATACATTTTCTTCTTCAGCTTACATGTTGGTTTTAAATAATCCTAAACCATTTAGAACTTGTTTTGGTCTGGTATAAAAGAAGGATTGACTTTTCCTGAAAGCACATTTATTGATTATTTTTCTCTTAAAGGCTCTATTGTGATACTATCTGTAGCTCCTTAGTTTAGACTCTCTAGAAAGCAAAGACTGGGCCAGGATTAAGGAGCTAACACTTTATTTGCAAAGTGCAAGCCAAGATAGAGTGAGAAAGAAAGGGTAGTGGGGTAAGGAAAGTGGGAAGCAAGCCATAGAGCGCATTGTCATTCAGGCTAATGCTGTTTCCCAGTAAACTCTGAGACAGAGTTCACTCCGACTTCCCTGGCAAGACTGAAAATAGACCCCTTAGACTTGTCTGCAGGAGAGAGGGAGAGGAAGAATACATGCCTGTGTACTTCCTTTCTCCTGTTGGGCCATGGGTCGATGTCCATACCACACAGGGCTAACTTCCCTTAAACATCTGGGTTACATCCCAGCCTGTTAGCAATGTCTCGGGAAGCCAGATTCCATGCTCTGTGGTAGGTTTCATCCCCATTCAAAAAAGGGCAAACAGGTGGGGTGAGGGTGTCAATTGGCCCATCAAGACAGAAAAAAGGAAAAGGTCCAGGAATTCTGAGAAGGCAAACAAGATTAATGTCCAATGCAGTCACATGTCAAGTTACCTTGTATGTTTGGATCTGTTTTTCAGCTATTCTATTTCAGTAGTCTATTAACCTATCTCTGGGGCAATGCCAAACTATTCTAATAATCACAGATTTACAGTAAATCAAATGTCGGGCAAGTCATCAGAAGCCTTGCTTTCTTATGGGTCACATACATTTTAGAATCAGTTTTTTTTTTAAGTTCCAGATAAGTAAAGCTATTTAATATTAGTTTATATTTTGAGAGAATCAACATATTTGTGATACAGAATCTTTATAGCCTTAAACATAATGTTTTGAGTCTTATTTTTAAACATCTGGAATATTTAGGTTAGATATATGCCCTGTGGGTTTTGTTGTAATTGGGAAGGATATTCCTTAAACTCAATTGTTAAATTGGTTGTGTTGATATATTAGAACACTACTGATCGGCATAGGCTGATCTTTACCCAGCAAGCCTTCTAAACCCTTATTACATCTTCTGTATTTTACATATATTCTTTTGGATTTTCTTTCTAGACAATTCTATGTGAATAACAAATTAGATTGTTCATCCTTCACCTTTTTATATCCTTTACTGTTTTCTTTAATTGTTCTATCTGAAAACCTTCAGCACAACGTTGAATCAGTGTACTGATAGGAATCATTTTTACCTTATTTCTATATTCATTTGATCTGATGACTTGTGATGTTTCACAGTTCAGGATTATTTTGATGTATTCTACTATCAGGGTAAGGCAGTTCCAGTTTATTCTATTATACGAAGATTCTGATTCTCATGAATTGACTATTTTATCAAATGATCTTTCTGTATCTGTTAATATGCTCAAATATTTTCCATTTGGCCTATTAATGTGATGAATTACATTATATGGTTTTCTAATATTTGAATGCATATCGGTAAGAAGTCTATATTTTTGTATTGAATTAAAAATATTTTAGCTGGATTTGGTTCTGGAAAAAATCTCATCCCTTCTAATGTTAATTATATTCTTTCTGTTCAATCCCTCAGAACAAACACTTAGCCTTCTTATTTTATCCTGCCTGGGTTTTTAAAAATATTTTTTTTTATTTCTATGGGTTTTTGGGGAACAGGTGGTATTTGGTAACATGAGTAAGTTCTTTATAACCACTGCCTGTTTCTTAATTTCTTAACCACATTCATATATTTTCTATCCCTTTATAGTTCTATGCCTATTCTCAGTGATTTATGTCTGTCTCCAAGCTCATTAACATTTTCTTCAGCTATGTCAATCTGCTTTTAAAGTAATACATTCACTTTAAAACTTCAATGACTGCTTTCCATTTCTTGAAGCTCTCTTTGGTGCTTTTTCATATATGACTATTTCTCATTGTTTCATGATGGCCTCATTATGGTTTATTAGAGCTCTCTGGCAAACATAAACATTTTTATACTCTTTCAGATATTTTGTTATTGCTAGATCTTAGGGTTAAAAATCTCTCATGTATTATGTCTACTCACTGCCCTTCCTGGTCGATGTTTTTCTAACTTGGTTTGTAATTTTCTTATAAGCTTATCTTCCATAGGCGTTATTTTTTTGTTTGTGTGTTCCACATGCTCTAGGTTATGTATCTCTTCAAATTATTTTGGTTTCTTCCTGATGTGGCTTTACATATGGCTGTTTTAAACTTGGTAGTATGTTAACTGTTTGACCTGGGATTTCCATGCCAATGTGAATATCAAGAGGGCATTATAAATACTGTTTGCATATCTGATGATGGTATTGGCTTGGGGTTGCAACTGGCATGGAGTCAATCTGTAAAATGATTTATTCATTTTTATTTTTTGTGTAAATCCCAAGGCACATAGCAATCCTTGTTACTGCTTCTCTGGGTTAATGGGAGATGTTTCTAGCTTGTTTTTCATGGCCAAGTAAAATGTTTGAGGTTTTGTGAAGTGCTTAGTTATAGCTCTCTATCTTCTAAGACCTTAAGGATTTTGTAGCAACACCCCAGCCACCATCTCCTTCATCTTGCATCTAAATCCTGCATAATATTAGACCAACACAGCATCAACTGAAGCTTATTACATTGTATTTGAGTTCTTTCTTCAATCGTCTTTGCCTTTTCTTATTTCTTGGCTACATATTTTAAATCAATGTGGTCATAATTTACCCATATTAAATGTATTTAAAGGGGGGAAAGAACAACTCCACCATTGCCAAAAGTCCTAGTCTAGCTGTTACTGCCCAACTTGTCTCATAATTTTGGATTTCCATGTATGAGCCTACTGTGTTTCCATTGCGTCTTAACTCTCTATTGTTTGTGAATGTTTCTGTCATCATCATGTCCAACATACATATTTCTGCCAGTAACTGCTAATCTTATAGCTTTTAATTGTTCACATCACTTTTCATTTTCTAAAAATACCTAAGTTTCTT
The DNA here is from genome assembly GCF_000001405.40 of Homo sapiens. Taxonomy (NCBI): domain Eukaryota; kingdom Metazoa; phylum Chordata; class Mammalia; order Primates; family Hominidae; genus Homo; species Homo sapiens. The sequence continues at coordinate 10,144,765 of NC_000010.11, forward strand.
GAAGCCAGGGACTGTGTATCATGCTTCTATAGCTTTCTGTCTTCCCATAGTAGTTCTTTAATTGATATCTGCTCCTCAAATATAATAAAAACAAGAATCCTAGAAAAGAGATACTCAAACTTTTTACATGTCAGAGAATATCCTAGAACTTTAACTATATGACAGCATTAATTGAACCCTCACATGTAGAAGCCATGCAGTATGCTGTTCAGATATTCCTTCAGGAGAAAGCCCGTTGCAAGGAACGTGTTGGCTGATAGCCTTGACCTTCACATTGAAGTCGGGTCCCCCCAAGCAGCTCCCTGCCAAAGACCATAGCAGGGGTACAAGACCCTGGCCATTCCTGCCCACCACTGAGCTCCCTTGCTGGGCCATATGTGCTCTGGGGTTCTCACCAGCCTAGATGAGCCTTTCTCTGAGTTGCACTGCAGTCTGAGGCTCTTCTTATCTCATCCCTCCTCCTTCCTACTGCTCCCCATGTCTGCATCATAGTCTGAAATCCTTCTTCACTCACTTCTGTGATCTCTATCCCTTAAAAATCATTTATCTGATAGCATTTATGATTCTGTTGATCAAGACCAATATCATGGATCCAAAGGAAGAAATGAAGACTGTAAGACCAGAAACACTTGCATGATGAGCTATGATAGATAGATCTAGAAATGGTTCATTTGGATAATCTTTCTTAGGCTGTCCCCTCTGCTTAGCATAAAGGCCCCATATCTGTAACCTTTACAGATGTTCCCATTAATACCTTCATTTCATATCCAATTACACCTGGCATCTGTTTCCCAGAGGATGCAAACTAGGCCATTGCCTCAACCTCTTCTTCAAATGAGGGAACCAGGGCTTTAAAAGATTAAGAGACATGTCAAGTTTACACAGTTATTCAGTCTAACAGTCCAAATTTGAAGCCAATTTTGTCTGACTACAAAGCCCACATATTTTACCACTACCTGGGAGAAAGTAAAAATAATGTTTCATGGAAATCAACGTCTTGCCATCTGAAAATGTTTAAGGATCACAGTGAAATCATTTTCCTCCTGCAGGGACCCACTTGCAGTATTTCCTGTTCAGAAGGGCTGAATACACAAGTGTTGGTCAGGAGGCAAATATTTAATTTCTATATTCTCTGATTTGTGAAAAATCAAAAGGGTAGCATTTGCTTCAGAGAGTCACAAGGAACCCAAATGGAACATAAAAGTCCTTCACGTGATAGCATTCATGATTCTTTTGATAAAGGCCAATACAATGGATCCAAAGGAAGATGTGAATAGTGTAAGGTCAGAAACAGTTGCATATCAGCTACGATATATAGACCCAGAAATGTTTCATTTGGAAAAATTCTTCTTAGGCTGTATGTACTGCTTAGAATAAGGGAACTATATCTGATTTTCAATACCAGTCTTAGATTACTCTATCTTTATGGTTTATTATATTGAATTGGAACATTTTGTTTATATAACTGCCTCCCTGCCCTCCTACTGCACAAACCTCATCCTCGATATGGACTCACCTATTCTAAAGTCTTTATGCCCTTGGGAGGCAGGGATAGAATTCTTTACTGTTGTACGCATGGAGCCCTGCAGTAGTGGGCATCCGATAAATACTTGTTAAAGGCTTTAAATAAATAGGAGATTTTATAACTGTTACAAAACTTTAAAAGACTGTCCAATGAAAGGAAATAAGTCTCTTTATACAATTACAACTAATTGTAAGATTAGTTGGAGTACAAGCTAAATGGCTATAACAAAGGCATCCTAAAACAGAGTAGACTGAACAAGACTGAAGCTTATTTCTCTACCATCCCAAAGTAAAGACTCCAGGACTGATGGAATAGCCCTGCCACTTTGAGTATGTGGCTTTAATCTCAGAGTCAGATAGCTCCTTTAGTCCCAGACATCTCTAGCCAGCAGTAAGGAAAAATTTGACGAGACAACGCACACTCAATTGTTTTAATGGCAAGTCATGAATGTGGTGCACATCACTTATTCTCCATCCACATGCCTTAGTAGTCACATGGCCAACTTAGTCACATGGTCAGCCTTGCTCACTACGAAATATATCTTCAGCCTTGTGGTGATGTGTCAGTTAAATCTTTATTCCTGCAAGATTGCAAGAGAATGGCTATTTGGGCAAACAGCCGTGTGCTATAACCATCTATAACAAACCACCTTCTAACCAGAAGAACTGAATTAGAAACAAATAGGTCAGCAGTGAATTAGCAAGCTATCTATTACTGAATATATTTAAGCAGAAACATAATTATCATTTACAAAGCAAAAATCTAAGATCAATACTATTTTTCCCATTGGGAGGTTCAAAGAGATGACCATTAAACTCTCCACTATGTGATTTTGTGATTTCATTTTATTTCTTGTACATTGTAGAATATATTGTGCACAGTAGACACTTGGGCAACCTGTTTCTTTTCACACTGTAAACTTTTTGAGGGTAAGGACAATGTCTGCCTTGAAGTCAGCCAGTACTTGGAAAATTACATGGGAGACAGTAGAAAAATAAGAGGTAAATATATTGTTGTTGAACAAATGAATTAATGACAATTAAAAATCATGGACTAGAAGCTAAAAAGACTAGGAAATGTACCCATGTTGCAATGGCAGGAAGTTTGGATTGACATTTAATACTTAAAATGCTCAGATTTTGTAATGCAGAATATTTTTACTAAATCTGTGAAAGATATTGCATAAACATGAAACAAATATATGTTGAGTGTATTTTTGGCATTTCTCAAAAGCTGATAGCAGTTATTTCTCTTATAGAGTCACAGAAATGATGAATTTTTTTTTTTAGGTACAAAATGACTGTAAACTCATTGTTATACACTAGTATCCCTCACTTTAATTTGAATCTTTGTTCGGCTTATACATTCAAACAGTTATTATTTAAGTTAAAAGTTGTCCCAAATAAAATAAGTTAAAGTAATGTCAGTGTCCCTAGAGGAAAATGTTTTTAACCTTCTCTATGCAACTCAGTATCGGGAAATTAAAATTCTTATCACTTCTAAGACTTACAATGGGGGATTGGGTGGCAGAAAATAAATATTACCAATTGTATATTTTCTCTCTTTCTTCCACTCTCCCTCACTCCCTCCTTTTATCTCTCTCTCTATCTCTCTCACACACAAACACACACACACTCCTCTCTCACACACACACACTCCTCTCTCTCACACACGCACAAACTCTCTCTCTTCCCCCCTCCCAACTCTCTCTTCTTCTCCCTCTTTTTCTCCTGTCTCTCTCTCCCTCCCCTTTATTCTCTCCACCCCTATGGATCCCCTTCTATTTATCCTATTTGTATGTTCTCTGTAAACCTTCCCTAGGATTATTACCCTATCTTAATTTATTCCTCAAGCCTGTTTTGGTCAAGTACCCTCTATCCCCAAAGAGAGCACTGACAGGCTATACAGGATATAAAAATCACATGGAGGCTGGACACAGTGGCTCACTCCTGTAATCCCAGCACTTTGGGAGACCAAGGTGGGCAGATCACAAGGTCAAGAGTTCAAGACCAGCTTGACCAACCTGATGAAACCCCATCTCTACTAAAGATACAAAAATTAGCCAGGCATGGTGGTGGGTGCCTATAATCCCAGCTACTCAGGAGGCTGAGGCAGAAGAATTGCTTGAACCCAGGAGGCGGAGGTTGCAGTGAGCCAAGATGGTGCCACTGCACTCCAGCCTGGGTGACAGAGCAAGACTCTGTCTCAAAAACAAACAAACAAACAAACAAAAAACAAACAAATCACACGGAGAAGCAAGGTAAAGATGAAATCGATGTAAAGGGAAATAATGTCAATTCTTCCATATTTAATAACTGACACAGTCATCCAGAAACAATGTTCTAGGTAGATCTCTTGTTAAATTTTGACTAAGCATATTATAGTGTATCGTATACTCATATATAAATACATGTATGATTATTATATTAGTTATAACTCACATGCTATCTGTTATTCTAGGTGCAGAAGAAAACCATCTCTATGATATTTTATGAAAAATGCATTCTCTGCACAAGTAATAATATCAAAGACTCAGATACAACCCAGAGCAGCAATTCTGATTTTTACACCAAAATCTGTTTAAGATTTTTAAATGACGTGTCTCTTCCAGAAGAATAGGGTATTTGCTCATATATGAGTAATGCTGAATAGTTTTTGGAGAGGTCTCTTGTGAAAAGTTAGAGGATTACTTTGATGTCAGTATCATTCTGAGCAGTAGATGAAATCAGAGAGCAGAACCCATCATCCCATGATAGATGGGGAGGCTACTTATGGCCTAGTGAGTAGATAAATTGGTTACATCATTTAATGTGCACCACTGATGTCCCAAGTCACTGTTCAGAGATACCCTATTATTCACCACGCAAACTTGACTTCCACACTTATTTAACATTACCCTACTAAGACCAACACTTTACTTTTGTCAGACTTGACCCATTAGTTTGATAATTCCCAGATAAATCAATGGCAGAGGCACATGCATCATGAAGATTTGCTCTCACATATAATCTGCAAGGATTGCTTGTGTCTAAAAGCAACATCCCGCTGCCTGTCCATGTGTAGTATCTGCCGCTACTATAAAACATTTCCTAGGACTGCAGGTTGGCCTTACACATCCAGCTGTCAATTAATAATGTGACCTTAGCTAAATGATTTAATTTTCCTGAACTCATTTATTTCTCCATATGAAGAGGGAGTAGAAATAAGTGATCTATAAAGTTTCTTCCAACTGTTCCATTCCTTAAAGGACCCTCCATTCCAGGGGCCATGAAGCAGGTCACATGTGATACAACCTCATTATTCACTGCAGTTGCATTCATTTCTGATGAATGAAATAAGAGTTAGAAGGATATTTTTCTCTTCTCCTGCAGTCTCCAACAATGGTTGTGATTTGGCATTGTGTAGAAATACAACAAAGGCAAACCCTCTTAGACATAGCCTACAACGGGGTGCAGGACAGCAGCTTCTCACTCTGGAATTCTCTAAAACTATAGATAAGCCCCATCCCACTCCTCCCTCTTCATTAAGATGTCCCACCTTTATACTCCCAGACAACCTGTCCCTTGATCTTAGCCTCAGTCACACTGCAGAGTAATTTTTATGTTGTTTTCCTTCTTCTGGGTCAGACTGTGAACCCTATGCAAGCAGGAAACATGCTTTTGTGGAATTTTTTCCCAATGTGAATAAACTCTGTTGCTTACCTTCCAATAACCTCTTTAATGATCTCTTTAATGAATGATTTTATGTCACTAGTTATCAACCATGACTGAATGGGGGCCAGGCAGCCCACAGCTCATAGTCTGTTCTGAGTTTCCATTCCTAAAGAGGAAAATTCCATTGGCATGATTCAACTTCAAAGTTCTGCATTTGATACCTCTGGCCAGCTAGCTATTATTCTTGACCCAGTACGCTGTGTTTGAGATGGCAAAGAGAATGAGTCTTACATTTGTTCCTTTAAAATAGTGGATACATACACTACATATTGTAGTTTCTTGCAACTAAAAGAATAATGGGGTTACATCACATGTGACCCATTTTATGACCTTTGGGATGATGGGTCCTTCAGCAAAAGCAAAAGGTAAGTAATGAGATTAAAAAGATAAGGAAATACATATGTGACCTGCCCTCAAGTAGTAGATAGTCTAGTTGTACGTTTTGTTATCTATTGCCCACTTATTAGGAGCAAGGATTCTTCCAGAGAGTGAGGAAGGGCCAGAGACCCCTGAATTGCTTCTGGCTCAGTAAGAATTTCTATTATTTGGGGGATATATTTTTTCCCCTAAAGCCTTCTAAAAGTAGGCTAGATTTCAGCGTCCTAACTGAAAAAATGCCCAACCCATATCCAGCATCCTGAAACCTGAAGCAAGTGGAATGGTAAGCCTCGTGGGAAAGATAACTCCAGGAGTGCCGGGTCTAACAGAATAGCATCAATGAGAGCCTGGTACTGAATTGCAGTTCAGTAGTTCAGTTGTGCTTACAAAGCACAACTATTGAAGAGAACACTGGAGGTAAGAGACAGCTCTCAACAGGACACGTAACTCAAAATCACAGAATGTGAGAACCAAAAGGGACTGATAGTTTACTTAGAAATGCCATGCAGTTGGAGGAAAATTAAGAAGGATTGTAATTGGGTCTTTCACCTGAGGTCTCCGAAGACCACTGAGGCAAATATACATATTGCATACTCAGTTTTTTTGTTGACATGTTTGCAATATAAAATTCTTTTTTTATTTTTTTGAAACAGAGTCTCCTTCTGTTGCCCAAGCTGGAGTGCAGTGGTGCAATCTCAGCTTACTGCAACCTCCGCCTCCTGGGTTCAAGTGATTCTCCTGCCTCAGCCTCCCAAGTAGCTGGGATTACAGGTGTGCACCACCACACCCAGCTAATTTTTGTATTTTTAATAGAGACAGGGTTTTACCATGTTGGCCAGCCTGGTCTCGAACTCCTGACTTCAGGTGATCCTCCTGCCTCAGCACCCCAAATTTCTGGGATTACAGGTGAGTCACTGCACCTGGCCTGAAATTCTTTTATTTTTATATTTCTTATGAATTTATTTTGTAGCTAATAAAATTAAGTGACACAGACAAGGAATTACAAAATATCCAAGTCACCACACCAATTTATGTGAGAATGAGATTAAAATTCTGTCCTCTTTCCACTAAGGTACTTTGTCCTACTTATATTTTGTTATACCAAGGACAAAAAAAAAAGTTTCTTTTTCAAATATTTGCTTGGCAGTTAGACCTATAATTGGAGTAGAAGACACAATATTCATACAATTCCTTGGAGTTAAGAAATGAGGTATTCAACTTCTATTTTTTTATTTCTGGTCAAGCCATTCATTTTCCTGGGAGAATTCTAAAGTCAAATTCCATCTAAAATATTATTAACTTGCCAGTTGGTTCTGAGAAATAAGTTTTTAAGCAATTTGACTCAGAGCATGTTCCCACGACAGAGCACTGTCCCCGACCAAAGGTGGTCACCTACTCAAATTCCTGATATCTGGAAGCTAACACACCTGCCCCAGTTTCTCTTGAGACCAGGTTTCTACCGTGCCATGTGGTGCAAAAATTGGATATTTCATTCTCTGCAACATGATCCTTTAGATAAAATTCTGAAAGTCTTTCTTTTTCTTCCTTTTTCTTACACAAGTCCTTGCTTCGCTCTTGTTAGTCTTGTCAATTTCTGACATTATCCGTTTTGGGACACTCTTCCTACCATCATTGCACCAAAGGAAAGAGGTTTGTTTGTGCAAAGCTGAATCTGTGCATGCCTCGCAGTGGTGCCTGAACGTTCTCTCTCTCATTCATATAAAGTACCCAAGTATTTCCCTTACTATCAAAAATCAGTCCAACTGGGGAATATCAGACAATATGTTTGTGCAGAAAATGATTAAAATTCAAATGATTGCTTGAATGATATAAATAAATTCAAAATTATGGTCTTACTACATTTATTGAGCTATATAAATGTGTATCTAGTAAAAATACTTCAACAATTCTTCCTTCAAGTATAGAGGCCTTCTTATTTCCCTTTACATTCTATAACAAAACTCATTAGGTATAGTTTCTGTTATAATATCTTTTTAAACTACACTGGCAGCCTATCAGTTCATCCTCTTCTTTCCTTTTCTTTTCTTTTTTTTTCTTTTTTCTTTCTTTTTTTTTTTTTTTTTAAGACAGGGTCTCACTCTGTTGCCCAAGCTGGAGTGCAGTGGTATGACCATGGCTCACTGCAGCCTTGAACTCATGGGCTCAGGTAATACTCCCACCTTGGCCACAAAGCAGCTGGGACTACAGGTGCATACCGCCATGCCCAGCTAATTTTTTTTTTTTTGTATTTTTTGTAGAGATATTGTTTTGCCATGTTGCCGATGCTGGTCTTAAATTCCTGGGCTTATGCCACCTGCCCACCTCGGCCTCCCAAAGTGCTGAGATTACAGGCGTGAGCCACTGCACCTGGCCTTTATTCTCCTTTAAACCATTAACATGTGTCTCTCTTAAATAGGCTTAAAATCACAAAGAGGGTTCAACAGGAGATATCAGGGGCTAAAAAATAGTCAGGAAAGGTCTTTCCTTTTAATGTACCTATAAATCATTCTGAACTTTCTACAATAGCAGTAAAAGAGATCACCCTCAATCTCTGTGACAGGCCTTTTTAACCCCTGCATCCAGTAACTACCCATTCATCTAAGGAAGAGTGAGGAAAGGAGGTAAACACTTCTCAACTATGCCACGGAATGAGAAGAGTAAAAAATTAACAGCGAAATGAAACTACCAGAAACTTACGGAAAAATACACTTAATATAGGAGACATGACTTTCACATTATAGTCAGGTACAAGAAAAGGATACCTATTTTCACCCTAAGTACTGTATATTTTACTTACAATAATACAAAACATTATAAAATGATATTTTAAATTATAACTTTAGAGATAATACTGATATTTCTATGATTGCATACATATAGGCAATTCACTACTGGACAAATGATTTTCAAAGAGTATTCAGTAAGGTGACTGGACGCAAGATCAATTTTAAAAAACCAATAGCTTTCTTTATTACAGCAAATCAATTAAAATATATAAAGAAACATAACAGTAAAAAATTATAAAATACATGAGCATAATCATGATGTCAAAAAATGTGCAAGACCTTTATTTAAACACCCACATAATATGACCTGAGAGTATAAAATAATATTTGATTACGTAGAAAGAGAAAATGCCCATGGTTTGGAAAATATGATGTTTATAAGGTTTTAATATTTTCGAATTATACTAGGAATGCAATGCCATTCAATTCAAAAATTCCAAAACTTGTTCATGATATTGAAAAGATGAGTCAAATTTTATATGGATTATTAAATGTGAAAAGCTAATCAAGAAGATTTTACAAACTAGCATTTTGAGAGACCAAGATGGGCAGATCACTTGAGGTCAGGAGTTCAAAATCAGCCTGGCCAACATGGTGAAACCCGTCTCTACTAAAAATACAAAAATTAACCAGGTGTAGTGGGGCAAGCCTGTAGTCCCAGCTACTTGGGAGGCTGAGGCAGGAGAATCGCTGGAACCCGGGAGGAGGAAGTTACAATGAGCTGAGATTGTGCCACTGCACTCCAGCCTGGGTGACAGAGCAAGATTCCATCTCAAAAAAAGAGGAAAAGAAAGAAAAAAATAATAAGGCAGTGATGGTTCTGCCAGATGTAAAAAAGCATGATAAGGCTATAGTATTTGTAGCTATGATAAAGCGTAGTATTTGTGCAGTAGACAAGTACATCATTGGACCAAAATAGGTATTTCACAGGTAGCTGCAGCATTTATGGGAAACTGAAATATAAAAATGATCCCATTTCAAATTACTAAGTGACAATGGCCTAGTCAATAAAATGCATTAAGACAATTGATTATTTAAGATGAGGAAAATACATAATTTTATGTTGTTTTTCCAAAGACAAAATAAACTTCAGCTAGAACTAAATTCGAAAATAAGAAAAATAAGGCAGCTATGAGATTATGAGAAGAAAATATGGGATATTCACAACATGAAAATGACAAGGAAAAGACTGATACATTTTTTTCATTGCTTGTCTTCCCTAATCAATTTGGTATATTTAATGGTATCAAAATATAAACATCTTTGTAACAAAATATGCCATAAGTATAATTAAAATATAAGAAATACACTGGAAGAAAATATTTTATAACATATAAAGCAGATAATATTGAGAATTTGTAAGTTAATAAATGTATGTCTGTTAATTATACAGGAAAGATATGTAAATTAATGAACCTGTGAAACAGTACATTAGCAAACAGAGTAGATATATAGAAAAGCAAATAATAGAAGAGATTTATAAAAAAGTGTTGAAAACCAGCCAGGTGTGGTGGTCCATGCCTATAATCCCAGCACTTTGGAAGGCCAAGGTGGGAGGATTACTTGATTCCACAAGTTCAAGACCAGCCTGAACAATACAGTGAGACCCCATCACTACAAAAAATTTTTAAAAAGCCCAGGTATGGTGGCACAAACCTATAGTCCCAGCTATGTAGGAGGCCAAGGTAGGAGGACTGCTTGAGCCCAAGGAGGTAGAAGCTGCAATGAGCCATAATTGTGCCACTGCACTCCAGTCTGCATGACAGAATGAGACACTGTCTCAAAAAAATAAAAGACAAAAACTATCCTCAACTAAACAGACCATCAAAGACATGCAAGAAAAATAAAATCATACAGTAACATTTGCAAAAATGGAGAATAAATGAAGTTTTATAGAAATGAATCTACATTATGAAATACTGTGCTTCATAGCTTTAAAGAGTGAAGTACGTTTCCACATTCAGACATGAAAAGATCTCAAGGGCAAATAATTTAATCTCTAACAGATCAGATCCCATATATTCTGTGTGAAACTTTTTTCTACTACATATTACACTAGAAACATGAACCAAAAAATGCTGGAGCTCCGAGGAATGATTTTATCTGGAGAGGATGACACATGTGACCCTGCAGCCAGTCCCTAAAATATGACTGAATATTTGACAGTAAGAAAAGTGGTGAATAGATCTTTTCAGAACAGGATATAGTCTGTTCCAAACTTCTCACAATTACATTCCAGTCTTCTTTGTCAACCCCACCAGTTTATCTGTGATCAGTCCCCAATCACCCACTTCACCTGGGCGGAGCTCTTTGATGCCATCTTGCCTTGTACCAATCTGTTCTTCTCTACTAACATCTCCTCCATTCTCCCCTCAGTCTCTCCCTTTCCGTTTGCCCAGCTAATTCCTTCTTCTTTTTTCTTTTTTCTTTTTTTTTTTTGAGACAGAGTCTTGCTGTATCACCCAGGCTGGAGTGCAGTGGCAGAATCTAGGCTTACTGCAACCTCCGTCTCCCGGGTTCAAGCGATTCTCCTGCCTCAGCCTCTTGAGTAGATGGGACTACAGGCGCCCGCCACCATGCCTGGCTAATTTTTGTATTTTTAGTAGACGCAGGATTTGACCATATTGGCCAAGCTGGTCTCGAACTCCTGACCTCGTGATCCACCCACCTTGGCCTCCCAAAGTGCTGGGATTACAGGTGTGAACCAGAGCACCCAGCCTTGCCCAGTAATTCCTTCTTTTAGCCTTAGCTAGGCCGCTACCTTCTTTGTAAAGTCTTTTCCAATCTTCATCTTCTCTCTGAGCATTCTTACTTCCTCATGCTTCTTTTCTCAAATAATCTATGCTACTGTTTAAGATCCAGAATCAAAATTGAACAAAAAAAATGATTTCTAAACTAAAGTCGGCAAAATATTGATAACAAAAAATTAAACTCCCCACATGGTGCATGAGTTTCAATGCACACGTATGGAAAGTAAATTACCAATGAAAGAACCTGAGCAATTCTGTAATATATATGTTCGTTATGCAAATAATAACATGTCAGAATTAGTACAGAAAAGTTATTTACCACCTAACTTTTCACTTGCAGATGAAGTAACTCCACATAAATGGTAAATTTCCTTGATGTACATGCATCAAAATATAAAGACTTTTTTTCTTCTTTTGGAAATCCTGGGAGACTGCTAATGTCTTTTCCCCTTGGTCACATTTACAAATGTCAAAAAAAGTAAGTAAACTTATTTTGCAAAACTGAGAATGTTTTCAATGTCAAGCACAACCATTTAAAACATGCTGCTGTTTCCCTTTGGACGTTTGACTACAAAATTGAGGCTGAAAATGTCCCACAAGTTTCAAATAAATGACAAGCAGAGTCAATATATTTTTTTTCTTCTGTTATTGAGACTTGAAATCTATTGCTGAATTGAAAAAAAGAAATCAAGATAACTGATCATCAGTTAGGAAAAAATGTTCATCCTAGTTAATAATACATGTGATATATCTAGTATAGTTATTATTGCATTGTATTGCAACTTAGTGAGGAACATTTCATCCAAGCAAAGGAATTGCAGAGCCCACGTGAATAGGGACTATGAGTAGACAAGGCAAACAAGGAAACTGTATAAGAGAAAAAGAAAACATGAATATATTTGAATGGCTTATATATTCCAGGCATTATCAGGTGCTTTCAATCACCTTATTTAATTTAATCTAGGTTGAGTTTAAATTATTGAAACACAAAATCAATCTATGCAGACTGGGGCCATTGTTATAATTTATGGGTTAGTATCTGATATCTAAACTCTGCAAATCTAATAATAATGCCTTATTCCTTCATGCCCTGTTTACAAGGAATGGGATGAAACTCAGATTCCCAACTGCCAGGAAATAGCCACCAGCTGCTGAAGCATAACAACGTTATCTAGATTTAGACGATGATTGCTGCATGCAAGACATATTTGGGGCCTGTCATATAACAAAGCAGTTGTGTTTGTTTAATTTGTTGGCGGTCTCAGGGTCCCCTTTAGGTGCCTCAGTGAATATGTCACTGGTAGAGACACCTTTCAATCCAGATGGATGGGAAATTAACATGTTGTTAATGAATGACATCCATGGTTTAGCAAGAAAGCAACAGCAACAATTCCAAAACAGTGATTTGAAAGAATTATATATTGATTGCTGGTTGTTAAAGTGGATTTCAATGTACACAATACTAACAACAAGAATCAGTATCTCCTTTCACTTCACAGTGTGCCTTTAAAAACGTCATTCAGTTTTTCGAAGACTGGCCATTGAATTCAAGACACGTTCCTAATGGTTACTGCCTTAGTTAAGAGTACACAATACAAGTTGGCAGAATAAAGAGCGGAGATTCTAACTAACTGTGATGTTTGTGCATTCTGAAATCTATTCATTAAGCTTCTCCTGACAGTGAACTAATAAATGAAGACTACTGAAGCTAACATTGTCTTTTACCCCCAAGCTCCAAGACATATGAAAGTGTCAACCCTCAATAAAAAACAAGTTTGTCAATTTTAGCTTCAATATTTTAGTGTGGGGAAGCTAAAATATCCGTAAGACAAAAGAGTATTCTTTATTATTAGGCCAGTAAGAAACTAAAGAATTCAATAACTCTGGCTTATTAGGAACTCCAATCATATTATGAAACAGCTCACCACCTACCTGGTTCTGTTTTCATGGGTCAAAGTGAGACACTCATCACTTGTCATGGGATTGATGCTATGGATGCTTTTTCTACAAAGCCCTTCTTAACGAAAGGCATTATAAAAATACAACTTGTTAGTAAAGAAGCTCTATAATGTCACTCATAATTATGTTTCTACATTATCAGAAAGTTATTTTACCTTCACAATATATCTGAAATATTGTTGAGTCATAAATAACAGAATTAAGAATGTTTCATATTCAAGAAATACAATAGATCATCAGTTGTTTTTTTATTGTTACAAGTTTCATAAATATGAAAACACATAGTTTTGGGAATTTTTGTTGTTGGTTTGTATATTTTTTGCTAGCTCTGGTAGCTTTCTTTAAAGAATTTAAAAGGCCAATCTAATCACCCTGAGAAGAAATGTGTTTTATTTTTATCTACTCTACAATTTAAAAATTCCTTCAATTTTTCTCCTGCAAGGGAAGTTTAATGAGCCATATTTGCTTGTTTCCATGGTATTTCAAAGGAGGATTACTAGCTGAAGCCAAGAAGATGTATACAAAAAAAAAAAAAAAAAAGTAGGGAAATAGCCCTTGCAATGAGACAGAAACTTTACTTTTCAAATAAATTCCATAGGTTAGTAGTTATTTATAATCTTTAAATCAGTGCCGATCAATTTTCATGTTATTTAAAGATTGATTTTCGCTCAAAAACAAAAAAAGAATGGTAACAAGAGTACTATCTTATAACATGGTTTGTCACTGCAAGTGCACATATAACCCATCATGATAATGGACCAAAATTCAACTCTCTGTACAACTATGGAATACCTAGAAAAACAAGGATGAAGTCCAGCTTGCATTTTCTTAGATCTGGCTGATAGTATGCTGAGTTTGTGTGTGTGTTATAGAAAGCATCATTATATTCTGTTATCTCTGAACACTGACACCTGTAAATCCACTCTCACTTGAGGGAGATTTTCCCAGAAGCAATTGGCCAACATATATTGTGTTACTCTCTTTCATCTCCAAAGTACATATTAATGACTTGCCTTTCGATTTTGTTTAAGTATTTTGATGATATCTGATGTTTAAAATACAAAGCAATTAAATCAAAGATTTCTATGGTGTCTCATGCAGTGACATTACAATGTCACATTTATAACTTGTGATAATTAAATTCTATTCTGTAAATATTCTCAATCTCTCTTTTACATGTTTAAGACTAGGTAGGTGCATTGGCATGTAAATGGGAGAGCAAGTCTTGAAGTCACATGTGTTGGACATCACAGGGCCTATTCTAGCATTTCTGAAAAAGAAATGTCAAGGAGAGGAAATGTTACATTTGTAGACAAAAAGAGTCAAACTCCTTACAATATTCGAAAAGATTTTTTCTGACCCAATTATGAGTAACCAATAGCCCATGATACAGACACAGGATGCTGTGAACATGTGTCCCAGATGGTCGGGCACATGTTCACAGCTATGAATGTATAAATGTATAAAGCTTTGGTTTATACATTTTAGGGGGATTCAAGACATCAACCAACACATGTAAGATGTACTTGGGTTCAGTCTGGAAAGGTGGGACAATTGATAGCAGAGTCTTCCAGGTTATAGGCAGACTCAAAGGTTTTCTGCTTGGCAATTGGTTGCAAGAGCTATTATCTAAAAACCTGGAATCAATAGAAGGGAGTGTCTGGGTTAAGATAAGGGGTTGTGGAGACCAATGTTCTTAAGCAGATGAAGCCTCCAGGTAAGAGGCTTCAGAGAGAATAGATTCTAAATGTTTCCTATCAGATTAAAAGAATCTGTTCTGTTGGTCTTAAGGTCTCTGTTTGGATGTTAATGCTGGTCAGCTAGGTCTGAATTCCAAAGGGAGGAAGGTATTGTGAGGCATGTCTGACCCCCACTTCCCATCATGGCCAGGACTAGTTTTTCAGGTTAATTTTGGAATGCCCTTGGCTGAGGGGAGGGTCCGTTGATCAGTTGAGAGGCTTAGAATTTTATTTTTGGTTTAGACTTTCTTAAAGGTAATTCAATACCATTGACTATGTAATATCCACAAAACAAAAAAAAAGTAGAAATCATTAGAAAATGTAAATTTTATGAGGTAATGTTGCGGGAGGGCAAGGTTCTTGGCACTCTGACAGTTTGCTGAAAAAGCAACTGAAAATAAGGTGTTAAAAAGAGAAAAGGCATATGAATTTCTTTAACCAAGCACCTGGAGAGAATTAGATAGTGATTGCCCAATATCCCAGTGGAGCCCAGAAGCTTGTATGTCATTGTGAGGTTGCAGAAAGAATGGGGGCTTAGATCCTGGACAGATAGGCTGTGGGAGGGGAAGAAGAGGAATTGGATGATTGGATCAGGCAGCAGAAATTAATTTGTAAATAGTTATCTTTGGAATTTAAATGATCTGTGTAGATAGTCATTATCTTGCAAACAAGTCTGTTCAGGTGTGGTTGCATTCTAGGTCTTCTTTCCTGTCACGGATTATAAGATAACAGGGAGAGGAACAATAATAATCATTCTAGGTGGGAAGTCCTATCTTTATGTAGATAGTGGTCGGGTCTCTTCCAGCACTTGCTGATTTTGTCTAAGTGTTACCAGAAAGCGGTCTGGATCCAGACCCCAAGAAAGGGTTCTTGGATCTCACTCAAGAAAGAATTCAGGACAAGTCCATAAAGTGAAAGCAAATTTATTAGTAAAGTAAAGGGATAAAAGAAAGGCTACTCCATAGGCAGAGCAGCCCCGAGGGCTGCTGGTTGCCCATTTTTATGGTTATATTTTGATGATATGCTAAAGAAGGGGTGGATTATTCATGCCTCCCATTTTTAGACCACATAGGGTAACTTCCTGATGTTGCCATGGCATTTGTAAATCGTCATGGTGAGAGATGACAACGTGCTAGCAGCCCTCGCTCACTCTCAGCACCTCCTCAGCCTCGGCGTCTGCTCTGGCCACACTTGAGGAGCCCTTCAGCCCACCGCTGCACTGTGGGAGCCCCTCTCTGGGCTGGCCGAGGCTGGAGCCTCTGCTTATGGGGAGGTGTGGAGAGAGAGGTGCGGGCAGGAACCGGGGCTGCGCGTGGTGCTCGCGGGCCAGTGTGAGTTCCAGGTGGGCGCGGTCTTGGTAGGCCCCACACTCGGAGCAGCCAGCCGGAGCCACCAGCCCTGGGCAGTGAGGGGCTTAGCACCCAGGCCAGCAGCTGCGGAGGGGGCGCTGGGTCCCCCAACATGGCCGGCCCACCCGTGCCATGCTCAAAATCTTGCTGAGCCTCAGCCACCTCCCCGCAGGGCAGGGCTCGGGACCTGCAGCCCGCCATGCCCAAGCCCCACCTGTGTTGAGCTCCCACACGGCCCGAGCCTCCCTGACGGGCACTGCCCCCTGCTCAGTGGCGCCTAGTCCCATCAACCGCCCAAGGGCTGAGGAGTGCAGGTGCATGGCACGGGACTGGCGGGCAGCTCCGCCTGCAGCCCTGGCACCGGGATCCACTAGGTGAAGCCAGCTGGGCTCCTGAGTTGGGTGGGGACTTGGAGAACTTTTATGTCTAGCCGGAGGATTGTATATGTACCAATCAGCACCCTGTGTCTAGCTCGGGGTTCATGAATGCACCAATCAGCACTCTGTATCTAGCTAATCTGGTGGGGACTTGGAGAACTTTTATGTCTAGCTA